>NC_000003.12:166887392-167038907 GCF_000001405.40 Homo sapiens
AAATACGACTACATAAAGTTAACAATACTTAGACGTTGATGTGAAGTCAATAAATCTTATGTCACATGTTAAAGGAGAAAGCAAATAAAATGAAGATATTTTCTTAGTACAAGTCTATATGTGCACAAATATGTTTTAAACAAAACAAGAAGGAAATATTCATAACAATTACAGTCCTCATTTCTGCAGCTGATCATGTGGTCATAACGGGTATTGATGACTACATTCTTCTACTATCCATTCTATATTCCCTTTGCCTTCAGCAAGCACCTCAGCAGGTAGTGGATCTCTTCCTGGTGGAGTGACCCAAACCTTCATTCCTGAAGCGTCTGGGTCATGTGCAGTCCTGCCTGGATTGGGCTGTTTTAGTTTCCCACTGACCTTAATCACAGGGCATGGTAATACTAAGAGATGCCCTAATGGATCTTCTGTATTCCATGCATACTCTTTCTTACCTCCGTTGTGGAGTACTAGACTAATTTCATCTTGACAGTCCCAGCCAATCACCCAAGCTAACACTGTAACTCCCTTCTTAGCCTGTTGACTTAAAGGTAGGAGGAGCCCAAAGTATCCAGATGACAATCTTAACTTCCAGTTTAATGGAATCGTTGTTGTGTCTCCTGGTAGCAGCATTCCTCCCTCTGGAATTAGACCTCTAGGCACGCAGTACGTAATGTTGTGGGAACAGAAAGCAAAAAATTATTACTAGTGGATCACTAGGGGTAATGGTGAGTGGTGCCACTTCCATTTCTACACCTTGATTTCTTGACCCGTGAATCCTGGCTACAGGAGAAACACTACCCATATATTGGACACTGATTCAGAGCATACACCACCTTCTGGAGAACTTTGCCCCAGCCCTGCAAAGTATTGTCACCTAGTTAGCATTGTACTTGTGGCTTCAAAAGGCCATTCTACCTTTCTATCAATCCAGCTGCTTCAAGATGATAAGGAACATAGTAAGACCAGTGAATTCCATGAGCATGAGGCCACTGCTATACTTCTTTAGCTGTAAAGTGAGTGTCTTGGTCAGAGACAATGCTGTGTGGAATACCATGACGGTGGATAAGGCATTCTGTGATTCCACAGATGGTAGCATTGGCAAAAGCATTGTGCGCAGGATAGGCAAACCCATATCCGGAGTCAGTATCTATTCTAGTGAGGACAAACATCTGCCCTTTCTATGATGGAAGAGGTCCAATATAATCAACCTGCCACCAGGTAGGTGGCAGATCACCCTGAGGAATGGTGCCATATCGAGGGCTCAATGTTGGTCTCTGCTGATGGCAAATTGGGCACTCAGCAGTGGCCGTAGCCAGGTCAGCCTTGGTGGTGGAAGTCCATGTTGCTAAGCCAATGTGTAACCTCCATCCCTGCTACAATGTTCACTTTGTTCATAGGCCCATTGGGCAATGATAGGGATGGCTGGGGACAGAGGCTGAGGGGTATCCACAGAACGAGTTATCCTATTCACTTGATTATTAAAATCCTCTTCTGCTGAGGTCACCCTTTGGTGAGCACTCACATGGGATACAAATATCTTCACAGTTTTTGACCACTCAGAGAGGTCCATCCACATACCTCTTACCCAAATTTCTTTGTCACCAATTTTCCGATCATGCTTCTTTCCAGTCCCTGACCATCCAGCCAAAGCATTGGCTACAGGCCATGAATCAGTATATAATCGCATATCTGGCCATTTTTCCTTCCATGTGAAGTGTAAAACTAAGTGCACTGCTGGAAGTTCTGCCCAGTGGGAAGATTTCCCCCTAGCACAGTCCTCCTTCAGGGATGTCCTAGAAAGGAGCTGTAATGCTGTGGCTGTCCACTTTCGAATGGTGCCTGCATGTTGTGTGGGACCATCTGTGAACCAGGCTTAGTCTCTCTTCTTCTGTCAGTTGATAATAAGGAACTCCCCATAAGGCTGGTGCAGGCTGGGGGAGAGGTACAGGGTGGCAGGAGTGAAGACCATGGGTATTTGAGTCACTTCCTCATGTAACTTACGTGTGCTTTTAGGACCTGCTTGAGCCCAAACACGTATAGACACTTCTATTTGATAATGGAATGCTGCTGTGCATGACTCACTTTATGACTAGATGGGTCAGACAGCACCCAGTTCATGATAGGCAGTGCAGATCACATGGTGACTTGATGACCCTTAGTCAAAAGTTCAGTTTCCACCAAAGCCCAGTAACAGCTGTCTCTCAAAAAGAGAGTAGTTATATGCAGAAGATGGCAGGGCCTTGCTCTAAAATCCTTGAGGTCTCCCCTATGATTCACCTATGGGGGCCTGCCAAAGGCTCCATATAGTATCCCTATCTGCCACTGACACTTCAAGCACGATTGGATCTGCTGGGTCATATGGCCCAAGTGGCAGAGCAGCTTGCACAGCAGCCTGGACCTGTTGCAGAGTCTTCTCCTGTTCTGTACCCCATTCAAAACTGGCAGCCTTTTGGGTCACTCGATAAATGGGCTGGAGTAAGACACCCAGGATCAATACTTTGTATTCTTCAATCCAATCAAGTTGACACTCAGTATTAACCATCACAGATACGTTCCAGTTTTAATCTGAAATGTGAATACAAGGTAGAAAAAAAATCCTAGCAGGACCCAGATTTGCAGCACCTCTGTTCAACTTGATTTTCTTCTCATTTTGGATTTTTCTAACCTCATGGCTGAAGAATGAGTGCTACAAGTTCTAAAAATTTGTCTTTTCTGAGTCCCATCTAACAGAAAATGCAAAGCATCTTTTCCAGTCACTTCACAAGGCTTGAGATATATTGTTTACCACAATGCAGAACAATGGCTTGGATAATCTGATGCACTGCTCCAGTGGTCTTGAGTGTGGAACCTCAATAGCACAAACTAGGCTGAGAGTATAATTTAGCTGATTTCCAAATAATAATCAAAAACTTGCTGGAGGTAAGCAGAGTAATGCCAGGCAGCCAAATCAGCACACTCTGGAAGGACTGCAGAGGCAGAATACTGACTTGGTTTGCACTTTTTCTCCAAAAGGATCATTTGTTTTCTCTCATACTGAATAACTTTGAACTAAAGACAAACACAGTGAGTACCTGTTGCCAAAAAATAGATAAATTTAATGGATTATCCAATAAGGTATTGAGGGTTCATATTTGTGTATTTGTTTTGCTTTTTCTCAGTCACCACGAAACCTAACCAGAGATAAAATGAAAATACGTAATAAAAAGTTACTTTAAAGATGTCTTTTCTAATAAAATTTTTTATTCATTTCTTATTCAAATTAACATTAAAATAACTTTGGTACTACATGTGTATTATGTGTGCCTATATACGTATACATACACACACACATATGTATACTACATCTATATACTTGCAAATCTCTATATCTATATGTCTATATTGTATATACAGTATGTATATATAGTGCATATGCATATATAAAAGTAGATATAGTACATATACCTACTTATTATATCCAAATGTCTACATCTTCATATATCTAAATATAAACAAAATTAAATAGTTATGTCAATTTTTGATGCCATTTATCATATCTATTTTTATTATGCTCCTGAACATCCAATATATTCATAATACATGAGAGCAGCTTTGATTTAATGTAAGGTTTCTGAACAGTGGATTTTACTTTTTGTTATAGCAAATTGTCTTTAGTGATTTTAGATGATGATATCATTAGAAAATTTTTTTTTAATATTTGAAATAACTCAGACAAAAAATTTTGGTTAATAAATTTGTATATGGGTATAATACATTGTGTATATACATATGTGTATGTGTGCATGTGTGTGTGTATATACCAAGGATTACATATGAAAGAATTCAGGAATCAGAAAATGTATTTTTCTATGTGCTACAAAACCTGGTTTGTTTCTAAAATTTTTGCAAGATAGACATCTGACCTTAACCAACCCACATAATCCCTCTGGATCAGTTTCTTCTTACCAAATGTAAATTGCAGCATATATTTGTTCACAAAATATTTATTGAACATCTATTATGTGTCAGGTACTGTTGTAGGTTCTGAAGTCATAGCAGTGAACAAAACTGACAAAGAGGACCCTGCTGGCACAGAATATATATTCTTGTGAAAAAGAGACAATAAATAAGAAAGAGTAAAATCCCTTAAAAAAAGACTGTGATGAGTGCTAACGTTTTTAGAGAAACTATGGAATGAGAGTAGAAAGTGATATAGTAGCAGGTTGATCAGTAAAATAGGGTAAGTGGTGAAGGGCCTGAAGTTGTTTCTTAGGAATGTCAAATTCTATTCTGGAGAACACATTCTAGGCCTTAAACATTCTGTCTGAATTTTTCAAGTAAATAATTGTATATGTGACTGAATATCAATTAAAACAGGCAAAGTAATATTTACCGTGTTTAATAAATTCATTTCTCAACTGGAAAAAAGTAATCTTTCTCAGAGGACTCCTTATTATTCAAGTTACCACAGCCCAAACCCTCCAATTATTTAGAATATTATATGCTTCAAATAAATTAACCAAATTATTTTCTAAAAATCTTTGTTTAAATGTGTATATGTATATATTATATTTTATATTTATTATACACATACTAGTATATATGAAAAGCAATTAATATTTTATTTTCAGTTCTTCCAATATTTGGAACTAAAGAGAAAATTTGCTTTTGTAGCAAGTCACTGTTGAAAATGATATATGTGGCTAAAAGTTTTAATCCTCTCATATTTTCTTTTAATTTTCAGGCTCTCAAATTAATGCCAATAAAAAATTCTTCAATTAACAGTCTGTGGGAACAAATTCCTTCACACAATTCCTATCATTGAAGGATTATTTAACCTTCACATAACCCCTTTAACAGAATTACTAACACTGAGATCTTCAATAAGAAAATATAATTCAGAGTGAAAAGAATGAATAAAATTGTGGTAGGTGACACTGGAAACAGATTTGAAATGACAATGTGTGTTGTGAAATTATTATTTCTCCTGTCACATCTTTATTTCCTAAAGCAACCTAGAGTTTTCAGTTTATTCATAATTCTTATTTATTTTGACTTAGAAACACTAACAATGAATTTAATTAAATTAATTGTGACTCAAGCATTATTGCTGCATTTCAAAAAAATAACATAAAATAAATATTTAAACTGTTGTGACCTTCACTTGCATGTACCAAAATATGAGCAACTATTTATCAGATAATTCTTATATTTAGGAATATCTAAATACTTTCTATTAAGGTATATTATATAATTGTTATATTTAAGCATTAAGATTTATAGAAATATTTCAGGAAATATAGCCATCTTTCTAGCAATAAAAGCATTTCATAAACCCATGCAGACTGTCATCCCAAGACTGAATAGGTAAACAGGTCCAAATTATATCATCAGAGTCAGCAATTAAGAATTTTAGGTTGCTACATCCTTATTACTTCTCTAGTTTAATTCGATTACAACAATATAATTAATAAGCACAGAGGCACATATACAACCTTGTTTGTCTGATCTATTCTAGTTGGCACCCTTACTTGGGGAAAAGTCACAGAAGCCCATGTCAAAATAAGATGGAAACTCCTAGTGTCTTGGTCGAGACTTCCTGGAATTGGAGAAATTGTAGCTGACAATTATTTAAATTGCCCTTCCTCTTTCAACCACAATCATTTTTTGCACCAATAATGTTTAGGGGTCCTACCTTCAGTTATTCAAGATAAAATTTATAATTTTTAGTATATCATTCAGAGACCTTCATTATTGTTTATTGGTTCATTTTTTTCATGCTCATTTCTAGCTACTCCTCTATAAAAACCTTGAATAAAAGCCACTCCAGTATGTCTGATTTCAGAAGAAATATTTTCTCTTACTTTTGTGCTTTTATTCATCTTCCTGGAAAGTTGTTTCTTCTATACGTGGCTAACTCCCAATCATTCTCCAAAACTTATCTCAGGCATTACCTTTTCTGAAATATTATTTTCCATGCGACACTGTGGATTAGAAGTTTTTCAATGCATCCCCACCATAGCATTATGTATTTCCTCCCATATTAACAGTTGCATTCTGTCATAATTGATAATATAGAATTAATGGGGCATAGATAATATATATTTGGAAAAGTAGATTTTGGGAGGTCAGGCTGACCTGGATTCAACACTATCCTTAAGTGTTGAACAAATTAATGAATCATATTTACTCTTGTTTTTCTCTTCTGTAAAATGAGGGCTAAAAGTTTATGCAATAAAAGAAAGTTTTGACAATAAATTATCTATTAATTCATATATATATACATATATATACACATCTGAATAAATAAATGAATAAAAGAAGAGAGAGAAACATAGAGACAAAGAGAGGAAGAAAATCTGAGAATAGAAAATGGTGTGATTTATACAGCATAGGATTTTACCATCTAACCATAAAAAGAAAGTGAAGAAAAATATTTTTTTCTAAATTTGGAAATTTAAGACTTAAGAAATAAAGAGAATAGGAAAAATAATAATTCAAGACAACGTAGCTAAATTATTGGAATAAATGAGCAAGGCTCATGAAATGTTCTTTTCAAAGAGATTTTTTAAGTTTATAAATTTCAGACAATAGTAAATTCTGGATAGAGCCATAAGAGTAGTTTACTTAAATGAAGTAAAAACAGTTCTCCAGCTATGAAAATTTGTATACTTCAAAAATATAATATGTATATAATTATATAACATACATGTTTAAAGATATTGTTAATAAAACTTCTATAACTATTGAGTTCATATTACACTATTTTATAAAAGTGTATCAAAATTTATTCTATCACGTGGGTAACGTTTAGCTCATTTCCAGTTCCACTATTGTAAATCATCCATTATATACATATGTGTGTGTCTATAAATGTTTATTTATAATGTTTTATCTGTATTGTGCATTATTTCTCCTGAAAAAAAAATTCTAGAAATGTAATTTTAAAAATTATGACAAAGATTCATGTACAAATTGTCAAATATCTTTACAGATAGGGTTAGGCCATATACAAATGCAATCTCACTGGTATAGGATAGAAGACTTCCATGCATTACACTTTTCCCATCATTAATTCATATTACTTTTGGACAACTTACAGTAATTTGAACAACATATTAATTACTTTCTTATAGATTGTTATTCTTATATAATACAAGTTTTTTAATAACTAAATATATGTCTTTTAAATGTTTCCTTGAATGTCAAGTGCATTTTTGGTCCATCTAAATTGCTTAATTTTCCAGTGATAGTCATTTGAAACTATTTTTCAGGAGCCCCAATTATTCTTATTTTAAATCACATTCCTCTTTAATTCATAACAAAGACTCCTCTCCATCATTTTAACTATCATTTCTCACTGTCTATTCAAATAAAGTCAACCCAAATATCAGTCTTTAAAATCACTGATAAAATCTTCATCCTCAACTCATGTCTTTCTTCCTTTAAAGTACTTACTGGATTACAGTTTGGGTTTTGTTTCATTCATTCATTCATTCATTCATTCATTCATCTATGCATTCATTCATATAATTCAAAAATCAAAATATTTGAGAATACATATGTAATGAGCAGAATTGTACCATTTTGAAATTCGTATGTTGAAGGCCTAATTCACAATGTGCTGGATTTGGAGATAAGGACTTTAAGAAAGTAATTAAGGTTAAATAATGTCATAAAAGTGGGCCTCTAAATCTTATAGGACTAGTGTCTTTACAAGAAGAGTTAGAGACACTGAAGATCTCTTATTTCTCTGCACATGCTCACAAAAGAAAGGTCATGTGAGGACACAGTGAGAAGGTGGCCATTTGCAAACTGAAGACAGAGTCCTCACCAGAAACTAACCCTACTACCATCTTGATCTTGAAATTCCAGCCTCCAGAACTGTGAGAAAATAAATTTCTCTTTTTTAATCTACTCTGTGGTATTTTGCTTTGGCAGTCTTAGAAAACTAACGCAACGTGCAATATAAACTCTCCACACTCCACCTTCTAGTCCCCTAATTCATTTACATAGAGGCAGCAATTTTATTAATTTTAGAGTTCTTCTAGAAATATTTGTTGCATGTATAAGTAAACACACACACATTCATATCTTTTCATTTATTTTTTATAAATGATACAACACACTACCTATACTGCCATTCACATTGTTTTTTATTAAACTGTATTAATTAGCCACCATTTATAACTGTAAAAAAAAAAAGGAGATTTCTCATTAATTTTTTTTTTGAGACTGAGTTTTGCTCTGTCACCCAGGCTGGAGTGCAGTGGCATAATCTCAGCTCACTGCAAGCTCTGCCTCCTGGGTTCATGCCATTCTCCTGCCTCAACCTCCCGAGATTTCTCATTAATTTTTAAGTGGCTTATGAAGTCATCAAAATTTATTTAGCCATTCCTCCAATAATAAAATTTTATTTTCAGTATTTTGCTACTAAAAATTTGTTAGACTGCAAAAATTGTATATGTATCATTTCCTACTTTGCAAATATATCTGTAGTATAAACTTCTAAAAGGAGAATTGTTTTATCAAGGATTTTAGTACTCACAATTTTTATAGAAATTGCTAGTCTTCTATATGGGATTGTCTTAATTTACACTTCCTCCAGAAATATGCAAAAATTTCTGTTATCACAAACACTTTCTGTTACTAAACTTTTAGATATTTGAGAACATATGTGAAATGTAATAATTTGTATGGTATTTATTTATATTTTTATTACTCTTAGTAAGTTTGAACATTTCTGTTCAAGAGATGGAAATAAAATTGTTGGCTGGGCTTTTCTTCCTTTTCATATTTTAATATGCTATTCAATATTTTCCTGCATAAAACATTGTCAAAAAATTCATCTATCTTTCATTTTCTTACAAATAATATGACCTTTGTGGTTTGCTTGCTCATTTGTTTTTTATGTCTAGCTATTTTAGCAGATTAGTTTCAATTGTATTTGCTTTAAGTTTATTGTAGAATGCCCTTTTGATACAAACTTTCAAATGTTTTAATTCTTTACAAAAAAAAGTCAAATATTTTGAAATGTAGTTTTTAGGTTGCTAGTATTTGGGCTGTTTCACTCTGTTTTCTTATATATATAATGTGTGTATATATATATATTTCTTATATATACATGTAGACCTTTGGTATACATGAATTGGCTTTTGCTTACCTAACTTCTCTATTTTTTCTCATTTCTTATTATAACTTTTATTCCTTTTTAAAAAAGTTTCATTCTTTCACCTTCTAGCATCTTATGTCATTTTTCTTGATCTTTTAAAAAAATATTTTATTTCTCATTTATTCTTCATTTCTGGAATGTTTCCTTTTACTATTTTATAAATATTTCTTGAAGTCTCATGTCTATTTTCTGAGTTTTTATATTTCTGACTTTGTTGTGTTTTTATATTTTTATCTGTTTTTACTTTAAAGATAATTTTAATATATGTGGTCATGACTTTCTGACATCTTTTCATTGTCTGTACAGATGTCATTCTGTTTTTATACTTTGAAAAAAATACTTCTGAATGGAATTCTTGATCTCAATTATTTTCTGTTACTCATTATTAAGCTAGGTTTATTTTCTTGACCTTTTAAATAAGATAAATTGGCCAGGGAAGCTTTTATAGTTTCATTTCTCCAGAAATTTCTGTTGTTTTTGTAAAGTGATTAAAAAAAAAAAAAACTCCTATTTTCTGACATCTCCCAACTTTGTTACATATTCACCTCTTATGTGGTCTTGTTCCTTTGTCCCTATTGCATCTGTCCTGATTAGTTAGGAAAATATCAGTAGCAGTTTCTCCTTAGTGTGAGACTCTTTCATGGTTCAGCTAGTTAATTTTCAAAGTTCTTTTTTTTTTTTTTTTTTTTTTTGGTAGACGGAGTCTCGCTCTCGCTCTGTCACCCAGGCTGGAGTGCAGTGGCGCGATCTCGGCTCACTGCAAGTTCCGCCTCCCGGGTTCACGCCATTCTCCTGCCTCAGCCTCCCGAGTAGCTGGGACTACAGGCGCCCGCCACCACGCCGGGCTAATTTTTTTTTTTTTTTTTAGTACAGACGGGGTTTCACCGTGTTATCCAGGATGGTCTGGATCTCCTGACCTCGTGATCCGCCCACCTCAGCCTCCCAAAGTGCTGGGATTACAGGCATGAGCCACCGTGCCTGGCCAATTTTCAAAGTTCTTAAAGCCCAAATGATCCCAAATCTTCAAGCATGATTCCGGATCACCAGTACTTTCCCAAAATTTAAGTGTAGATTGCTTCTCAGTTAAATTGTCTGTTTTCAAACTGCCCTAGTGTACATCCTAGTGAATATCTGTATGATATTTGGGGCAGGATGCTACTCTTTGTATCCCCTCCAACATGTCTTCACTTCTGTGATGATTTAATTTTTATAACTTTTTTTTTTGTTTTCCTTCCTCAGATTTCAGTATATCCTCTTGTCTTTGCATTTCTTTCCTAACTTTGTGTATTTCTACAATGTGGATTTGTTTCTCAACTACAATCATCTTGTTATGTTTTTATAAAATTTATAGAAAAATATTTAGTTTTGGTTTTCATTGTTTTCCCTTGGAATTTTTTTCTTGTGAATGTTTTTTGTTTATGATTTGCTTTTCCTTTGCTCTGACAGCATAGTTGTAGATACAGTCATATTTCCTGAAGAAAGTAGGTTTTTCTGTTTCTAAAGACTCTGATTCCCTTTATAAGCAATGCCATCATAGTAGAGAATTCGCTGTTTAATAACAGGCTGCCCTCTATTTCTATGTTAGGGCTTCACAGTGAAGAAAAACAGAACTCATGTTTTAACCTCATGCTTGCTGGGTGCACTTACCAACAGCTTCATTAAATTTCTAGATTCTTGCAAAAGGTTTATTTTTGCAGTCTTCATGTCAACTGTAATTGTTCTCTTTACTGTCCTCACAACAGAATAAAATACATCAAGGAGAGCTTGCCAGGGGCTATGTTAAATGAGAAGATTTTTGATAATTATTCTGTAAACCATGTTTTTGGGAAAGTTGTGTGCCAGTGAAACAAATATTCATTTAGTGCTTGTTTGTACCTAGATAAAGATACAGACTAACATCGAATGTAATGGTGAACAGCAAAGAAAAAGTTTTAACATTCAAGGATTTTATATTAATGGGAGAAGAGATATATAAAGAAATAAACAGTTAACTAAGTTGCACTTCAGAAAGCTACTTAGAGAAAAATTAAGCATGGTAAGTGTGATAGGGAAGCCCTGGAGATTGGTTAGGATTGCTGTTTTATATAGGGAAAGCAAGAAAAACCTCAGTAGTAGATTAAAAGTTGAGCAGCGACTGGAAAGAAGCAGAGGTAGCCATGGAAACAACTGTTGAGGGCCTACATCTTAGGAGTCTAAATGTACATGGAACTCAAGAGCTTGATTCTACTCTACCTTTAAGGTATGTTTATGTGTGTTCTGTCCTAGAATTTTATAAACTTAGTATTCTTAACCCTTTTTTTACTTTATAATTTAATTGATCCTTTAGTTATAGGTTTCATGTTTTTCTACTCTTACATTATTTTAATACTAGATTTAGAGTGATACTTTTTTTCCAGTTACAATATGATTTTCTGTATTACTGACTATGGAAACTTTCTGATACATTGTCAGAGAGTTTCCAAAATATTATTTAAACAAATTTGTGATAATTATGTATTCTCTGTTATAGGTTGAATTGTGTCCCTTAAAAAGAGATGTTGAAGTCCCAATCCCCAGTACCTGAGAAATGGGTCAGATTTAGAAATAGGATTGTTGCTAATGTAGTCAGTTACAATGAGGTCATTAGGGTGGGTCCTAATTCAATGTGACTGTTGTCTTTATTAAAGGGGTAAATTTGGAGACAGAGACAGACATGAATAGAGGGAAGACAATGTGAAGACATACAGGGAGAAGGTGACCATGTGACAGGAGTGGTGTTCCTACAAGCCAAGGATTGCCAATAAACCACCAAAAGCAAGAAAATTCAGGGCAAGATACTCCTCCAGAGGCTTTAAAGAAAGCATGGCCCTGCCAATACCTTGATTTTGGATTTCTAGCCTCCACAGCTGTGAAAGAATAAATGCATGTTGTCTTAAGCCACCTAGTTTTTGATATTTTCTTATGACCTTTCCCTAGGAAATTAGTATATCCTTGTATGTCTTGCATTTTCTTTATGCCTCACTGAGCTATGCCAACATAGAAATAGAAAAATGCAATTTTTAAAAATTTTTATTGCCATCAGCTTACCAAATCCCTCCTCCTTTTATTTTACTTACTTCACAGCTTTGGAAAGGTCCCTGCTTCCTCTGAGTCTTCTACAGATACAGCAAGAACCCATTGGACGAGGTGACCCATGGCTTTCTCCTATAACTGGAGTATCTTCTGGCCAGGCCCATGGAGGAATACTCCCTAATAACCAAATTCTGAGGCATTCATTCATTATCTTTAAAGCAGTGCTTCCCAAACTGTAACATGTATGTTAATATAAATTACCTATTGATCTTGTTAAAATGCATAGTCTAATTGAGTATTCTGATTGAATATTTTATATTTCTAATAAGTTACCTAACAATGCTGATGCTCGTGTTCCAAGGACTGCATATTGAGACACAAAACTCTAAAACTTGACCCATAACTCAAGTCATAAACCCAAGTATCATTCTTAACTTCCTCAGCCAAAACTACTTCCAGGTTAAGCAGCAGTTTTCTGCATTTTTGAAAAATGGTACTTCTCTAGATGTTGAAACTTGAAAAAGATATTCTATTGGTGAATAAATTAAAAATAGATGCCCCACTTGGTTGGATATTTTAGGAGACAACACAGCTTCTGTTGGAATATATAGTTCTAACAGGACTCAAGGACTGGCAAATTAAACAAGAGCTGCATTTCAGTCTCCACTTTCCTTTTACTCAAATGTCTTTAAAAGGCACAACCTGCAAAAAGTGAGGCCTATCCCTTCTCCACCTTCCTGCTCATCAAGAGCAATCAAGTTATGTCAAGTATAATTCAAATATTCTCTTTAATCTATCTTCTTTTTCCTCCTTGACTCATTCAGACATTAATCGCATGTAATCTAATTACTTATCTTCAATCACTTACCCCAGAAAAATATTTTCTTTATTGCAACCATATTTACCCTTCTAAAACATAACTCTACTTATCTTCTTCCTCTCCTTAAAAATGTATGAAGAGTACACACCGTTATTAGTCCATTCTCACGCTACTGTGAAGAAGTTCCCAAGACTGGGTAATTTATAAAAAGGAAAGAGGTTTAATTGACTCACAGTTCAGCATGGCTGGGGAGTTCTCAGGAAACTTCTAATCATGGCAGAAGGCACCTCTTCACAGGGTGACAGGAGAATGAGTGCCAGAGAGGAAATCCCAGACACCTATAAAACCATCAGATCTCATGAGATTCTCTTACTATCATGAGAACAGCATGCGGGAAATAGTCCTCATGATCCAATTACTTTCCAGTGGGTCCCTCCCAGGACTTGTGGGGATTATGGGAACTACAATTCAAGATGAGATTTAGGTGGGGACACAACCAAACGATATCAACACCTTCAAGATGATAACCTACAAATCCCTCAGCATGACATAGAAGAGGTTTTAAGGTACTACCCTAACTATGACTTAAGGTTGACTGTACTTCTTTGGTTTCTATTTCCCTATATCTCACCCGTGTATTTGCCTAGAGTTTCTGGCCACTATTGTGGTATACCAGGTGCGGTGGAACTTAAAATTATCAAGCCCAGACTAGGTTGGCAAACAAAACAAGCATACTATAGTCCAATGGAGAGAATTATAATATCAAGAGGCTTTGCTACAAGTGAAAGCTTGCATGTAATAATAGAACTTAATACTAACCTTCAATGTAGTTATTCATTAGATTTTGTTAAAGTCTTAACACAGTTCACAAGTAAAAACAAACAAACAAAAACATGTTTATCTATGATACTGTAAAAGATAGTGTCTGTGACTCATTAAAATGGGTAATGTCTTCCTGGGCACAGAGCCAGACTCCATTTCTTACTCTCACTTCTACATAAGTATAGCCATATATCTAAGTTCTAAATGATGTGTGCTACATTGTTACAACAATGCCTCCTAGTGAATTATATCTCTGTACATCTCCATTGCTTTACAAGGTGACTTCACAACTCTTCATATCAAAAGATGGAGTTCATTTCCAACCTCTTTTAATTCAGACTGGCCTTGGGACTTCTTTTGAGCAACAAAATATGGCAGGAATAATGTTGTGATCTCTGAGGTAGGTCTTACGCATCTTGCAGCTTCTGTTTGCATCCTCCACCGTCCACTTGCATTTTAGTCTTTCATTTTAGGCTTCTCCAAAGCATAGGCATTGCTTTTCTATGCCTATGCTTTGGAGAAGCCTAAAATGAAAGACTACTTGACCAGGTCCCAACTGATCCATCAGCTGAATGCAGCCAATGACTTAGCCAAAACAAGACTAGCAGAAGATCAACTCAATCAAATCATGAAATTGTGTGTATCAGGGGAAACATTGTAGTTGTTTTGGGACATGGAGTGTTGGAGTGATCCTTTACACAGAAATAGATATAGAAAGTGACATTTCCAAAAATAATTGTACCATTTCCAGAACTGACCCAAAATACTCTCTTCCTTTTCTCATTAGCTGGAATGGAGATGATTCCCAAAAAACCTTAGAAGGCATTACTGAAGATAGAAAAACCTCCCAGAGCCTGATTTCTGAATGATTGTCCATTTGGCATAGTCACCAGGTAAGTTCAGAACTGCAAGAAATAAAAAGTATATTTTAGTCATTTTACATTTTGAGTTTTAGTACAGAATTTCACTTACACTAAGTAATATACAAGCAGTAATACCATTAATATAGTATTTGGCATTTGTTTAGCTAATGTCTAGTTTCAGAAGCGTTTTATTTAAAAACAAATAGCTTTTGTGAAAAATTATTGGTTATTTATATATAATTATATTTGCAATATAAATTAATTTTTTTCACACAAAAACATTTTGGTAAAATAGAGAAAAATTCAGGATAGGGAAGCATTTACCTATAATTCCAATACTTGCATGTTTTATTTCTTGCATGTGTGCATTTTTTACTAAATTTATACTTTAAGCTAACATATTATATACAATTTCTATACTAATTCATAACTTTTTAAAATGGTTGCATCACACTCCATCTAGTGGATACAGCATAACATTTCTTATGCCTTTTTATTAATAATTTAAGTTCCAAATACTCAGTGTTGTAATTCTATAATGAGCATTTTTGTAAACATAGCTTTTTCTTTTTTATGTCACTCCTTTATTTGCCACTCTTAAACTCAACATTTTATTACTTATGTTGAGTTATTCAAATTATTTAGTGCACTTAATTCACTTCACAAATTATTTGCTTTAAGTTTATGTTATGGTTATTTAAAAGACAATAATATTAATATAATATTGAATTCTTTATCAAACACCACAGTTTCCCCTCAATTTTCAAGCTTAATCACTATATAGAATGTGAAATAATGATGATTATTTCTTTCTCCCCCCAAAATGTTTAGGCTGTTATTTCCCAAAAAATGGCTTAATACTTTGTACGTCTTTTTTTCTATATGATTAATGATAGTTATTTTCCAAAAACCAAGAACCAAGAACACTTTTGTTCTACTGAACCATGTTCTCCATATTATATTACCCCGAAGAGACAATGATTTCATGTAACGCAATAAGATAACCATACCTACTACCCTATCATTGACTTCTTCACATCTTCTTCTGTTTATCTCTACTTGAATATATTGCTGACACCTGAAATGTAAAATTTTAAAACAACATAAATTACATTATCTGTCAACACATACTTTCTCCAATGTTTCTATTACTTTTAAAATGTTGTCAACATCCTCAAGCTTACCCAGAGCTTTCCCCTGCTATTCAGACTCCTGTATTTTTCATTAGCTGGCCCATAGGCTCCTGAAAAATAATATATGTCCAAAATGAAACCAATCATTTTACTTTTGCATGTACTTCGATTTCTGATTTTTCCCTCTCTGTGAGTCGTAGTATCAATCCAAGTCATTCAAACCAAAAACCAGAGTCATACTCATGCTACCAAAACCCTTCTTATCTGATCACTCTTTTTATTTGGTTTTGTTCATTTTTGCTTGTTAACATTTTTATTGACATATAAACTTTATGCAGAAAGTACAGAAATATTAAACGGCTTTATGAATTTTTTACCAGCCAAATACATGTTTATAAGCAGGAGCAATTTAAGGAGAAGAACATTGCTAATATATGAGAACTCTGTTAATGCCTACTTTCAGTAACTAAACTCCATAGAAGTTTAACCATGATACTAATTTTCTTTTTTTTTTTAATTATACTTGAAGTTCTGGGATACATGTGCAGCATGTGCAGGTTTGTTACATAAGTATATACATATGCCATGATGGTTTGCTGCACTTATCAACCTGCCATCTACATTAGGTATTTCACCTAATGCTATCCCTCCCCAAGCCCTCCACCCGCTAACAGGCCCTGGTGTGTAATGTTCCCCTCCCTGTGTCCATGTGTTCTCATTGTTCAACTCCGACTTATGAGTGAAAACATGCAGTGTTTGGTTTTCTATTCCTGTGTAGTTTGCTGAAAATGATGGTTTCTAGCTCCATCCGTGTTCCTGCAAAGGACACGAACTCATCCTTTTCTATGGCCGCGTAGTATTCCATGATGTATATGTGCCACATTTTCATTATCCAGTCTATCATTAATGGGCATTTGGGTTGGTTCCAAGTCTTTGCTATTGTGAATAGTGCTGCAGTAAACATATTTATGTATGTGTCTTTATAGTAGAATGATTTATAATCCTTTGGATGTATACCCAGTAATGAGATTGCTGGATCAAATGGTATTTCTGGTTCAAGATCCTTGAGAAATCTCCGCACTGTCTTCCACAATGGTGGAACTAATTTACACTCCAACTAACAGAGTAAAAGCATTCCTATTTCTCCACATCCTCTCCAGCATCTGTTGTCTCCTGGCTTTTTAATGATTGCCATTCTAACTGGCAAGAGATGGTATCGCATTTCAGTTTTGATTTGCATTTCTCTAATGACCAGTAAAGATCAGCTTTTTTTTTTTTTTCATGTTTCTTGGCCACATAAATGTCTTCTTTTGAGAAGTGTCTGTTCATATCCTTCACCCACTTCTTGATGGAGTTATTTGTTTTTTTCTTGTAAATTTAATTTCCTTGTAAATTCTGGATATTAACCCTTTATGAGATAGATAGATTGCAAAAATTTTCTCCCATTCTGTAGGTTGCCTGTTCACTCTGATGGTAGTTTCTTTTGCTGTGCAGAAGCCATTTAGTTTAGTTAGATCCCGTTTGTCAGTTTTGATTTTTTGTTGCCATTGATCTTGGTGTTTTAGTCATGAAGTCTTTGCCCATGTCTATGTCCTAAATGGTATTGCCTAGGTTTTCTTCCAGGGATTTTATGGCTTTAGGTCTTACATTTAAGACTTTAATCCATTTTGCGTTAGTTTTTGTATAAGGTGTAAGAAAGGGTGCAGTTTCAGTTTTCTGCATATGGTTAGCCAGTTTTCCCAACACCATTTATTAAATAGGGAATCCTTTCTCCATTGCTTGTTTTTGTCAGATTTGTCAAAGATCAGATGGTTATAGATGTGTGGTGTTATTTCTGAGGTCTCTGTTCTGTTCCCTGGTATGTATGTATGTATGTATATATATATATATATATATATATATATATATATATATATATACACACACACACACACACACACACACACATATATGATGTGTGTGTATATATATGTGTGTGTGTGTGTGTGTGTGTGTGTGTGTGTGTGTGTGTGTGTGTTTTGGTACCAGTACCATGCTATTTTAGTTACTGTAGCCTTGTTATATAGTTTGAAGTCAGGTAGCGTGATGCCTCCAGCTTTGTTCTTTTTGCCTAGAATTGTCTTTGCTACACAGGCTCTTCTATTAGTTCCGTATGAAATTTAAAGTAGTTTTTTCTAATTCAGTGAAGAAAGTCAATGGTAGCTTGATGGGGATAGCATTGAATCTATAAATTACTTTGGGCAGTATGGCCATCTTCACAATATTAATTCTTCTTATCCATGAGCATGGAATGTTTTTCCATTTGTTTGTGTCTTCTCTTATTTCCTTGAGCAGTGGCTTATGATTCTCCTTGAAGAGATCCTTCACATCCCTTGTAAGTTGTATTCCTAGGTATTTTATTCTCTTTGTAGCAATTGTGAATGAGAGCTCACTCATGATTTGGCTCTCTATTATTGGTGCATAGGAATGCTTGTGATTGTTGCACATTGATTTTGTATCCTGAGAGTTTGCTGAAGTTGCTTATCAGCTTAAGGAGATTTGGGGCTAAGACGATGGGGTTTTCTAAATATACAATCATGTCATCTGCAAACAGAGACAATTTGACTTCCTCTCTTCCTATTGAATACCCTTTATTTCTTTCTCTTGCCTGATTTCCCTGGCCAGGACTTCCAATACTCTGTTGAATAGGAGTGGTGAGAGACAGCATCCTTGTCTTGTGCTGGTTTTCAAAGAGAATGCTTCCATCTTTTGCCCATTCCATATGATATTGGCTGTGGGTTTATCATAAATACCTCTTATTATTTTGAGATATGTTCCGTCAATGCCTGTTTATGAGTTTTATTTTACTGAGTGTTTTTGCATGAAGTGGTGTTGAATTTTATCAAAGGCCTTTTCTGCATCTATTGAGACAATCATGTGGTTTTTGTCATTGGTTCTGTTTACATGATGAATTATGTTTATTGATTTGTGTATGTTGATCCAGCCTTGTATCCTAGGGATGAAGCTGACTTGATTGTGGTGGATAAGCTGATGTGCTACTGGATTCAGTTTGCCAGCATTTTATTGAGGATTTTCACAACAATGTTCATCAGCAATATTGGCCTGAAATTTTGTTGTTTTGTTTTGTCTCTGCCAGGTTTTGGTATCAGGATGATGCTCGCATCATAAAATGAGTTAGGGAGAAGTCCCCCTTTTTCTATTGTTTGGAATAGTTTCAGAAGGAATGGTACCAGCTCCTCTTTTTACCTCTGGTAGAATTTGGCTGTGAATCCATCTAGTCCTGGACTTTTTTTTGGTTGGTAGGCTATTAATTACTGTCTCAATTTCAGAACTTGTTATTGGTCTATTCAGGGATTCGACTTCTTCCTGGTTTAGTCTTGGGGGGGCGTATGTGTCCAGGAATTTATCAATTTCTTCTAGATTTTCTAGTTTATTTGCAAAGAAATGTTTATAGTATTCTCTGATGGTAGTTTGTATTTCTGTGGGATCAGTGGTGATATCGCCTTTATCATTTTTTAATGTGTCTTTTTGATTCTTCTCTCTTTTCTTCTTTATTAGTCTGGCTAGTGTTCTATCTATTTTGTTAATATTTTCAAAAAAAAACAAGCTCCTGGATTTATTGATTTTTTAAGGGTTTTTTTGTGTCTCTATCTCCTTCAATTCTGCCCTGATCTTAGTTATTTACTGTCTTCTGCTAGCTTTTGAATTTGTTTGCTGTTGCTTCTATGGTTCTTTTAACTGTGATGTAATGGTGTCAATTTCAGATCCTTCCTGCTTTCTCATGGGGGCATTTAGAGCTAAAAATTTCCCTCTAAACACTGCTTTAGCTATCTCCCAGAGATTCTGGTACGTTGTGTCTTTGTTCTCTTTGGTTTCAAAGAACTTATTTATTTCTGCCTTAATTTCATTATTTACCCAGTAGTCATTCAGGGGCGGGTTGTTCAGTTTCCATGTAGTTCTGGGTTTTTGAGAGAATTTCTTAATCCTGAGTTCTAATTTGATTGCACTGTGGTCTGAGAGACTGTTTGTTATGATTTCCGTTCTTCTGCATTTGCTGACGAGTGTTTTACTTTCAGTTATATAGTCAATTTTAGAATAAGTGTGATGTGGTGCTGAGAAGAATGTATATTTTGTTGATTTGGGGTGGAGAGTTCTTAGATTCTATTAGGTCTGCTTGGTCCAGAGCTGAGTTCAAGTCCTGAATATCCTTGTAAATTTTCTGTCTCATTGATCTGTCTAATATTGACAGTGGGGTGTTAAAGTCTCCCGCTATTATTGTGTGGAAGTCTAAGTCTCTTTGTAGGGCTCTAAAAACTTGCTTTATGAATCTGGGTGCTCCTGTATTGGGTGCATATATATTTAGGATAGTTAGCTCTTCTTGTTGTATTGATGCCTTTACCATTATGTAATGCCCTTCTTTGTCTTTTTTTTAAATTTTTGTTGTTTTAAAGTCTGTTTTATCAGAGACTAGGATTGCAACCCCCTTTTTTTTTTTTTTGGTTTCCATTTTAAATTTTCTTCCATCACTTCGTTTAGAGCCTGTATGTGTCTTTGCATGTGAGATGGGTCTCCTGAATACAGCACACCAATGGGTCTTGACTCTTTATCCAATTTGCCAGTCTGTGTCTTTTAATTGAGGCATTTAGCCCATTTATATTTAAGGTTAATATTGTTATGTGTGATTTTGATCCTGTCATTATGATCCTAACAGGTTATTTTGCCTGTTAGTTGATGCAATTTCTTCATAGTGTCTACGGTCTTTACATTTTGGTATGTTTTTGCAGTGGCTGGTACTGGTTTTTCCTTTCCATATTTAGTGCTTTCTTCAGGAGCTCTTGTAAGACAGGCCTGGTGGTGATGAAGTCCCTCAGCATTTACTTGACTGTAAAGGATTTTATTTCTCCTTCACTTAAGAGGCTTAGTTTGACTGGATATGAAATTCTGGGTTGAAAATTATTTTCTTTAAGAATGTTGAATTTTGGCCCTCACTGTCTTCTGGCTTGTAGGATTTCTGCAGAGAGATCCGCTGTCAGTCTGATGGTCTTCCCTTTGTGGGTAACCCAACCTTTCTCTCTGGCTACCCTTAACATTTTTTCCTTCATTTCAACTGTGGTGAATCTGATTATTATGTGTCTTGAGATTGCTCTTCTCAAGGAGTATCTTTTTGGTGTTTTCTGTATTTCCTGAATTTGAATGTTGGCCTGTCCTGCTAGGTTGGGGAATTCATCCTGGATGATATCCTGAATTGTGTTTTCCAACTTGGTCCCATTCTTCCTGTCACTTTCAGGTATGCCAATCACACATATGTTTGGTCTTTTCACATAGTGCCATATTTCTTGGAGACTTTGTTCGTACCTTTTATTTTTTTTTCTCTAATCTTGTCTTCATGCCTCATTTCATTAAGTTGATCTTCAGTCTCCGATATCCTTTCTTCCACTTGATTGATTCAGCTATTGATACTTATGCATGCATTATGAAGTTCTCATGCTGTGTTTTTCAGCTCCATCTGGTCATTTGTGTTCTTCTTTAAACTGGTTATTCTAGTTAAACGTTCCTGTAACCTTTTATCAAGGCTCTTTGCTTCCTTGCATTGGCTTAGAACATGCTCCTTTAGCTTGGAGGAGTTTGTTATTACCCACCTTCTGAAGTCTACTTCTGTCAATTTGTCAAACTTATTCTCTGTCCAGTTTTGTTCCCTTGCTAGTGAGGAGTTGTGATCCTTTGGAGGAGAAGAGGCATTCTGGTTTTTGGAATTTTCAACCTTTTTGCATTGGTTTTTCCTCATCTTCATGAATTTATCTACCTTTGGTCTTTGATGTTGGTGACCCTCGGATGGGGTTTTTGCATGGATGTCCTTTTTGTTGATGTTGATGCTATTGCTTTCTGTTTGCTAATTTTCCTTCTAACAGGCCCCTCTTCTGCAGGTCTGCTGGAGTTTGCTGGAGGTCCACTCCAGAACCTATTTGCCTGTGTATCACCAGTAGAGGCTGCAGAATAGCAAAGATTGCTACCTGCTCCTTCCTCTGGAAGTTTTGTCCCAGAGGGGCACCTGTCAGATGCCAGCTGGAGCTCTCCTGTATGAGGTGACTGTCAACCCTTGCTGGGAGGTGTCTCCTAGTCAGGAAGCACGGGGGTCAGAGACCCACTTGAGGAGGCAGTCTGTCCCTTAGCAGAGCTTGAATGAAGTGCTGGGAGATCTGCTGCTCTCTTCAGAGCTGGCAGGCAGGAATGTTTAACTCTATTGAAGCTACGCCTACAGCCACCCCTTCCCCCAAGTGTTCTGTCCCAGGGAGAATGGAGTTTTATCTATAAGCCCCTGACTGGGGCTGCTGCCTTTCTTTCAGCAATGCCCTGCCCAGAGACATGGAATCTAGAGAAGCAGTCTGGCTATAGTGGATTTGTGGTGCTACAGTGGGCTCCACCCAGTCTGACCTTCCTAGTGGTTTTGCTTACACTGTGAGGGGAAAACCAACTACTGAAGCCTCAGTAATGGCAGATGCCCCTCCCCTCCCAAGCTCAAGCATCCTAAGTCGACTTCAGACTGCTGTGCTGGCAGTGAGAATTTCAAGCCAGTAGATCTTAGCTTGCTGGGCTATGTAGGGGTGGGATCCACTGAGCTAGACTATTTGGTTCCCTCCTGGCTTCAGCCCCCTTTCCATGGGAGTGAATGGTTCTGTCTCACTGGTGTTCCAGGTGCCACTGGGGTACAAAACAAACTCCTGCAGCTATCTCGGTGTCTGCCCAAATGGCCACCAGTTTTGTGCTTGGAATCCAGGGCCCTGTTGGTGTAGGCACCCGAGGGAATCTCATGGTCTGTGGGTTGCAAGGACCATGGGAAAAGAGCAGTACCATGATACTAATTTTCAACATCATAGATTGATTTCTGCTGTTTTTTAAATTATATAAATTATACAATATATTATTTACCCTTTTATATTTATATTCTTTCATTTGTGTTGACTTTAGTCCCAGTTCTTTCATTGTTGTCACTATATTCTATTCAATGTATGCAACAAATTTATTGTCAATAAAATGGATAATAGATCTTTGTCTTTTGGAGGGGTTTATTTTAATAGAGTTTCTGTGCATGTACCTGTACATGATTTATTGTGCATTTATGTAGATATATGCTGAAAAGAGAAATAAAATTGCAGACTAATGGAATATAAATATGTATAAATATACAGATGTATCTATCTATCGAGAGATGATTGATAGATAGATAGATAGATTCTGCTCTATTTGATACTAAAATGGTTTACAGAATTGTTGACATAAACTTGCATTTCCAGCATTAGTATATAAGCAAGGGTTGCAGTTACTTTACATATTTTCAAACATTTTATATTGTTTGTCTTTTTTTTTCTACTTTTGCCATTCCTGTGCGTGTATAGTGGTTTTAGATTATGGATTTAATTTAAATTTTCAAATGAAACTCAGTAACTTTTCATTTGAATATCCTTTTTTATGAAATACCAATATTTTCAAAGGATTCTCTTTCTCATGCTTATTAGAATTTCATTACATATTATGGATATGAGTCATGTATTGAATATATATAAAAAAATTTTTTCCCACATCATGGTTTTTTAAATGTCTTAATGCTGTATGTTATATATAATCCAATTTATGTTTTTATCTCCTTTGTGATTACTGCTGTTAGTATTCAGTTTGAGAAATCTCTGTATACCTCACAGCCATTAAGTTGATTTTTTTATTTTCTTCTAAAACTTATTATTTTACCTTACTTAATTAGCTCAAAATTCACCTGAAAAATAGTGTTTTTCATTGTTTAACTTAGGGTCAAGTGTATTTTCTTTTCACATATTGACACAAAATTGAGCCTCTGTAACATACGCAGAAGACTATCTTTTCTCTACTGTTCCTCTTTTTAATAAAACACATGACATAAAATTTGTAATTCTGTTTTGAGTTTCCTCTTCTGTTCCACCAGTCAATTTATCTTTCATTATGCTGATACCATAGCATCTTTTTTTTATAGTAACTCTTGATAAGATAGCTAGAGTTCAAGAGCTTTGTTGATCTTCAATATCAGCTTGGTTGCTATCAGCCCTTTACATTTTTATTAAAAAATTAAATAAACCTCTTATTGTCTATGAAAAACCTGGCTGAGATTTTGCTAGGGGTGTACTAAATCTGTAGAATAATTTGGAGAAAATTGACATCATTATAATCTTGAGTGTTCCAACCCATGAACATTTTGTATTTCTTCATTTATTTAAATATTTCATTTTATTATTTTTATTATTTTTTTACCTTTAACATAGAGGTTGTATGGGTTGTATGATATATTTACTCATAGATATTTGATTTTTTTTGACCATGGTACTTTTTTTTTTTTTTTGTATTTTCTGGTGGCCAGGTACAGTGGTGTATTCCTGTCATCTCAGCTAGTTGTGAGGCTGAGGTGGGAGGACTGCATAAGCACAGGACTTTAAGGCCAACCTGGGCAACATAGCAAAACACTGTGTCTAAAATTTTTATTTTCTATTTGTTCATTGCTGGTGTTTAAAAGCTGGAAGCAATCTTTGTATATTGACCTTGTATTAACAACTTTATTAAATTCATATGTTCCATATTACAAATCTCAGAAGATATGTTTAAATTTAACCCATCTGCATGATAAATTATGTAGATTTTCTGTACTTAATAGATTGAAGAAGATCTCTTACCAGTTTGCTAAATGCTGTTGTAATTATTATTTGCTAAATTTTACTATATGCTTTTCCTGTATTTTTTCTGAATAGTTTAATTTTTGAATGTTAAACCATTAGATTCTTTTTTTTTTTGTCTTAAGTCTGTTCATGATACTAAAACAAAATAACTTAAACTGACCATTTAATAGGAACAGAAATGTATTCCTTACAATTCTGGAGAATGGGAAGACCAAGATCAAGCTGCTGTCAGTTTCAGTGTATGATGAGGGCTGCCCTCTACCCAACTGGTACTTTCTCTTTGTGTGTGTGTGTGTGTGTGTGTTTTGATATTTTCTTTTCTTAACTTTTATTTCAGGTTCTAAGTTACATGTGAAGGTTTGTTCCATAGGTAAACTCATGTTACAGCTGTTTGTTGTACAGATTATTTTATTACCCAGGTATTAAGCCCAGTAGCTAATAGTTACCTTTTCCGCTCCTCTCCCTGCTCCCATCCAACCTCAAGAAGACCTCAGTGTCTCTTATTTTCTTCTTTGTGTTCATGAATTCTCATCATTTAGCTCCCACTTACAAGTGAAAACATGTGGTATTTGGTTTTCTGTTCTTGTTTTACTTTGCTAAGGAGAATAGCCTCCAGCTCCATCCATGTTCATGTAAAAGACATGACCTCATTTTTTAATAACTGTATAGTGTTTCATGGTGTATATGTACCACATTTTCTTTATCCAGTCACTGATGGGCATTTAGGTTGATTTCATGTTTTTGCTATTGTGAATAGTGCTGCAACAAACATTTGTGTGATTAAGTCTTTATGGTAGAATCACTTATATTCCTTTGAGTATATACCCAATAATGGGGTTGCTGGGTTGAATGGTAGTTCTGCTTTTAGCTCTTTGAGGAATTGCCATACTGCTTTCTACAATAGTTGAACTAATTTACACTCCCACTAAGAGTGTATTGTTTTCTTTTCTCCACAACCTTGCCAGTATCTGTTAGTTTTTGACTTTTTAGTAATAAGCATTCTGAGTGGTGTGAGACGGTATTTCCTTCTGGTTTTGATTATACTCTAATGATCAGTGATGTTGAGCTTTTTTTCCTATGCTTATTGGCCACATGTACTTCTTCTTCTGAAAATTGTCTTTCCATGTCCTTTGACTTGCTTTGTAATGGTGTTGTTTGTTTTTCTCTTATAAATTTGTTTAAGTTCCTAACAGATGCAGGACAGTAGACCTTCGCTAGATGCATAGTTTGCAAACCTCCCATTCTGTAGGTTATCTGTTTACTCTGTTGATAGTTTCTTTTGCAGTGAAGAATCTCAAATTTAATTAGATCCCATGTGTCAATTTTTGCTTTTGTTGCTTTTGGTGTCTTTGACATGAAATCTTTGCCCATTCCTATTTCCAGGATGGCATTGCCTAGGTTATCTTCCACGGTTTTTATAGTTTTTGGTGTTTTACTTAGGTTAATCAATGTTGTATTAATTTTTGTATACAGTGTAAGGAAAGGGTCCAGTTGTAATCTTCTGAATATGACTAGCCAGTTATCCCAGAACAATTTATTCAAGAGGGAGTCTTTTCCCCATTGCTTTATCAGCTTTGTTGAAGTTCACATGGTTATAGGCATGAGGCCTTATTTCTGGTCTCTCTATTATGTTCCTTTATGTGCCTGTTTTTGTACTGGAACCATGTTGTTTTGGTTACTATAACCTTGTGGTATAGTTTGAAGTTGGGTAATATGATGCCTCCAGCTTTGTTCTTATTGCTTAGGATTGCTTTGGCTATTCAGATCTTTTTGGGTTCCATATTAATTTTAAAATAGTTTTTTCTAGATCTGTGAATAATGTCATTGATAGTTTGATGGAAATAGCATTGAATCTGTAAATTGCTTTGGATAGTATGGCCATTTTAATGCTTGATTCTTCCTATTTATAAGCATGGGATTTTTGTTTGTGTCTTCTCTGATTCTCTTGAGCAGTGGTTAATAGTTCCCCTTGAAGAGGTCCTTCACTTTCCTTGTTAGTTGTATTCCTAAGTATTTTATTCTTTTTTGGCAACTGTGAATGGGACTGCCTTCCTGATTTGGCTCTTGGCTTAGCTGTTGTTGCTGTATAAGAATTCTAGTGATTTTTGTACATTGATTTTGTATCCTAAAACTTTGTTGAAATTTTTATCAGCTGAAGGAGGATTTGGGCCAAAACTATACGGTTTTCTAGATACAGGATTGTGTCTGAAAACAGAGATAGTTTGACTTCCTCTCCTACTATTTGGATGTCCTTTATTTCTTTCTCTTGCCTGATTGCCCTGAATAGGACTTCCAATACTATGCTGAATAGGAGTGGTGAGAGAGGACATGTTTGTCTTATGTTGTTTATCAAGGGGAATGCTTCCAGCTTTTGCCCATGTAGTATGATGTTGGCTGTGTTTTTTTTTTTTTTAATAGATGGCTCTTATTTTGAGGTATGTTCCTTCAATACCTAGTTTGCTGAGAGTTTTTCATATGAAGCAGTGTTGAATTTCATCAAAAGCCTTTTCTGCATCTATTGAGATAATCATGTGGTTTTTGTCTGTAGTCCTGCTTATGTGATGAATCACATTTATTGATTTGCACATGTTGAACCAACCTTGTATCCCAGAGATGATGCCTACTTGATCGTGGTGGATTAGCTTTTTGATATTCTGTTGGATTTGGTTTACGAATGTTTGGTTGAAAATTTTACATCAGTGTTCATCAAGTATATTGGCCTAAAGTTTTCTTTTATTGCTGTGTCTCTGCTAGGTTTTGGTATCAAGATGATGCTGGTCTCATAGAATGAGTAGAGGAGAAGTCCCTCCTCCTCAATTTTTTGGAATAATTTTAGTAGGAATGACACCAGCTCTTCTTTGTACATACGGTATAATTCAGCTGTTAATCCATCAGGTTTTGGGCTTTTTTTCTTTGGTAGGTTATTTATAACTGATTCAATTTTGGAGCTCATTACTGGTCTGTTCAGGGAATCAATTTCTTCCTGGTTCAGTTTTGGGAAGGTATATGTTTCCAGCAATTTATCAGTCTCTTCTAGGTGTTCTAGTTTATGTGCATGTTTGTGTGCATAGAGGTGTTCATAGTAGTTTATGATGGTTTTTTTTTATTCCTTCAGGATCAGTGGTAACATTCCCTTTGTCATTTCTAATTGTGTTTATTTGTATCTTCTCTCTTTTCTTTACTAGTCTGGATAGTGGCCTATTTTATTAATGTTTTCAAAGCTAACTCCTGAATTCTTTGATCTTTTGAATGGTTTATCTTGTCTTGACTTCCTTCAGCTCAGCTCTGATTTTTGTTATTTCTTGTCTTCTGCTAGCTTTGGGGTTGATTTGGTCTTGCTTCAATTAATTCTTTCAGTTGCAATGCTAAGTTGTTAAACTGAGATTTTTCTAACTTTTGATGTGGACAGTTAGTGTTATGAATTTCCCTCTTAACACTGCCTTAGCTGTGTCCCAGAGATTCTGGTATGTTGTAATTTTGTTCTCATTATTTTCAAAGAACATTTTTATTTCTGCCTTTATTTCATTATTTACTCAAAAGTCGTTCAGAAGAATGTTGTTTAGTTTCCATCTAATTGCATGATTTTGAGCAATTTTCTTAGTCTTGACTTCTATTTTTATCTCATTGTGGCCTAAGGTTGTGTTTGGTATTATTTTGGTTCCGTTACATTTGCTAAGGATTTTTTATGTCCAAGTACATGGTTGATTTTAAAGTATGTGCCATGTGATGATGAGAAGAATGTCCATTCTGTTGTTTTTGTGTGGAGAGCTCTGCAGAGGTCTATCAGATCCATTTGGTCCATTGTTGAGTTCAGGTCCTGAATATCTTTGTTAATTTTCTGCCTTGATAATCTGTCTAATCCTGTCAGTGAAGTATTGCAGTGTCACGCTATTATTATGTGGGAGTCTATTTCTCCTTGTACATCTCTAAGAACTTGCTTTATGAATCTGGGTGATCTTCTGTTGGGAGCATATATATTTAGGATAGTTAGGTCTTGTTGAATTGAGCCATTTACCAATATGTGATGCCCTTTGTCTTTTTTGATTTTTGCTGGTTTGAAGTTTGTTTTGTCTAAAATTAAGTAAGCAACCCTGCTTTTTTTCTGGTTTCCATTTGCTTGGTTGATTTTCCTCCATCACTTTATTTTTTGCCTATGGGTGTCATTACATGTGAGATGGGTCTCTTGAAGACAGCATACCATTGGGTGTTACTTTTTCATTCAGCTTGCCACTCTGTGCCTCTTAGGTGGGGCATTTACCACATTTACATTCAAGGTTAGTATTAATATGTGGATTTGATCCTGTTGTTGTACTGTTAGCTAGTTATTGTGTTGCCCTGTTTGGTTGGTTGCTGTCTGCTGACCCTGGTCTCTGTGTTTAAGCGTGTTTTTGTATTAGCTGATAGTGGTCTTTTCTTTCTATATTTATTGCTCCTTTCAAAATCTTTTGTAAGGCAAGTCTAGTGGTAATGAAGTCCATCACCATTTCCTTATCTGAAAAGGATCTTTTTTCTTCTTCACTTAGGATGCTTAGTTTGACTGGATATGATATTCTTGGTTGAAGATTTTTGTTTTCTTTAAGAATGTTGAATATAGCCCCTGAATCTCTTCTGGGTATAGGATTTCAGCTGAAAGGTCCTCTGATAGCCTGATGGGCTTCCTTTGTAGATGACCTGCCTTTTCCTCTAGCTGCCTTTAACATTCTTTCTTTAATGTTGACCTTGGAAAATCCAATAATTATGTGTCTTGAGGATGATCTTTTCGTGTAGTCAAGTAGCCAGACTGTTTTCCGCAGGGGTCCCTGCCTTTACTCCTTCTCACTGGGCAGCTCCTCCCTAACTGTGTTTCCAGCACAGTCTCCCTATTCCCACCTTAATTCTCTGGCCAGTAGCAGCCCTACATTTCTCTGGGATGAAGCTCCCAGAGGTAACAGAGACACTTGCCATTTTTCCTGTTGCTACAACTCCTACCTCCACTCCCCTAAGGCTGGGAAAGAGTGAACAACCTAGGAGTATCATGGGCCTCCAGGACACTGAAACTCACTCATGCAAAAGTGGCCAGACTGTTTACCACATGGATCTCTAACCCTGCTATTCCTCACTGGGCAGGGCTTCTCAACCAGGGCCCCCAGCACAGCTGCCCTGACATTGCCTAAACACATCAGTTGGTGATAGCTTTGAATTTCTCTAGGGAGGAATCCCTAAAGACAACCCACAGCCCTCTGCCCTTGTAGCTGCAACTGTACGACCTTACTGTCCTTGGCCTAGGGAAGAAACAAAGAGCCCGGTTGCTTCACTGGCAACTCTAGCATGCCACAGCCACCATACAGAAGGGAGTGCAGTCTCTCTTCCCTGTGAGATCCCACCCATTACTTTTCACCAAGCTTGGCCCCTGTCTTGGGCCTGTAGCACAGCCACCTCACCCCTTGCTGAACATTTCCATTGACAGAAGCACTGTGATTCTCTGAGGTGGGGCTCCCGGAAATAATTGACAGCCCTTCTGCCATGCCACTGCAGTAATACTGCCTTTGCTGCCCTCAGACTGGGAAAGGAACAAACATCCTGAGTGCTTTACTTTAACCTCCAACATGCTGCAACCACTCTAAGGTGAAGAGACCAATATTTGTTTGCTGCTAGCCCTCTTCCCCTAATACTTGTCACCAGGGAGGGTCATTGAGCATGAGCCTGCAAGGCAGCTACCCCACCTGTTGGTGACCATTCCAACTGGCAGTGGCTCTGCATTTCTCTGGGATGGAATCCCAAGAAACAAGTGAAAGACCCTCCGCTACTGCCATTGCCATGTTCCTCACCCCTTCTGTGCCCAAGTTGGGAGACAACAAAAACCCTGAGTTCTCTCAGAGCTGCATTGCACAGCCTGGGAGTATGAAGCAGAGATCTTCAGCTAGCATTCAAGTGGGAGAGAAACCCACATCCTCATAACACTGAAAGTGAGCACAACTGCAAATACAAGCAAGTATACAGGAGCAACGTGGCTGAGCAAGATCCCACCTACCAGCCATTACACTTAAGGGCCAGGTACTGTATTGCAGCCAAACTAATATACCCCCCTGTGAAACCAATTACAAGAATTCAGCCACAAATAAAGACCCTCACACAACTTCCATCCTGTAAAAACATCCAGGAATGAAGCCAAATGACTATAATCAAATTACACAACAGTTAAGGGAACATCAGCTTACCCAGGTGAGAAAGAATTAGTGCAAGAACTCTGGCAACTCTAAGGGCCAGGGTGTCTTCTTACCTCCAAATGATGACACTAGATCCCCAGTAATAGTTCTTAGCCAGAAAAAAAAAAAATGGCTGAAATGACAGACAGAATTCAGAATCTGGAGGGCAACAAAGATCATTGAATTTCGGGAGAAAGTTGAAACCTATTCCAAGGAATTTAAGGAATCCAGTAAAATGCCTTAAGAGTTGAAAGACAAAATAGCCCTTCTAAGAATGCACGAAACCAAGCTGATGGAGCTGAAAAAACTCACCAGAATAATTTTATTATACAATCACAAATATTAACAGCAGATTAGAAGAAAGAATCTCAGAGCTCAAAGACCAGCTGTTCAAATTAGCTCAGGCAGACAAAAATTTTAAAAAGGATTTTAACGACTGAGCAAAACCTCTGAAAACTATGGGATTATGTAAAGAGATCAAATCAAAGAATTATTGACATATATGAAGAAGAAAGCAAGCAACTTCAAAAACATATTTGAGGATAACTTCCATAAGGACTGTCCCAACCTTGCTAGAGAGATAGACATGCAAATTCAGAAAATGTAGAGAACTCACACGAGATATTATATGAGAAACCATTCCCAAGATACATAGTAATCACATTCTTCAAGGCCAATGTAAAAGAAAAAATATTAAATGCATCGAGAAAGTAGGAAAAGGTTACCTACAGAGGGAATCCCCATCAGGCTAACAGCAGACCTTTCAGCAGAAACCCTACAAGCTGAAAGAGATTGGGGGCCCATATTCAGCAACCTTAAAGAAAAAAAATTCCAACCAAGAATTTCACATCCAGCCAAACAAAGCTTCATAAACAAATGAGAAATAAGATCCTTTTCAGACAAGCAAACACTAAGGGAATTTGTTATTACTAGGTGTGCCTTAGCATTGGCCCTTGAAGAGTGCTACATATGGAAATGAAAAACTGCTACAGGCTACCACAAAAAGGCACTGAAATCGATAGGCTATTGACACTATAAGCAAATACACAATCAAGTCTGCGTAACAACCAGCTAACAACACAATGTCAGAACCAAATTCACACATATCAGCATGAACCTTGAACTTAGGTTAAATGCCCTGTGTAAAAGGCACCAAATGGCAAGTTGTACAAAGAAGCAAGACCTAATTCTAGGCTGTCTTCAAAAGACCCAACAAGAAATTTAATCCTTCAACAGACCAATAACAAGTTCCAAAATTGTTTCAGTAATAGAAAGCCAACCAACCAAAAAAAGTTCAGGATCAGATAGATATACAGATGAATTCTACCAGATGTATAAAGAAGAGCTGGTACCGTTACTACTGAAACTATTGCAAAAAATTGAGGAGGAAGGATTTCTCTGTAACTCATTTTATGAGGTCAGTATCATCATACAAAAACCTGGCAGAGATAAAAGAAAAATAAAAAACTTCAGGCCAATATTCTTCATGAACATAGATGCAAAAATTTTCAACAAAATACTAGCAAACAGAATCTAGATGTGCATCAAAAAATAAATCCACTATGATCAAGTAGGCGTTATTCCTGGAATGCAAGGTCAGTTCAACACATGGAAATCAATAAATATGATTCATCAATAAACAGAAATAAAAAAATCACGATTATCTCAATAGATGCAGAATAAAAAAATCTCTCAATAAAATGCAACATGTCTTCATGTTAAAAACCCTCAACAAACTAAGTATCAAAGGTATGTACCTGAAGAGTGATCACATCCACAGCCAACATTATACTGAAGAGACAAATGCTGGAACCATTCCCCTTGAGAACCAGAACAAAACAAGGATATTCATCCACTCCCACGACTCCTATTTCACATATTAATGAAAGCCCTAGCATGAGCAATCAGGCTAAAGAAAGCAATAAAAGACATCCAAATAGGAAGAGAGGAAGTTAAACTAATATTAAGAAAATAAAACAATGTATCATTATTATTAATAATTGAGACAACTGAACATTTATGATATTTTAAATATTATACTTTTTATTTTGTCTCTTTATTGTTCATTGCTTTCTTTAGTCCTTTGATGTGTATCTGAATACCCCAAAACTTAGTTACTTAAAACAATGATTTCTATTTCTCATGATTTTGCAAGTTTCCAAGGCAGTTTCTGCTGTGGTTTCAGCTGGGTTCACTCATGCTGCTTCATTTAACAGAAGACAATTCTGTGCTGGAGCTGACTCTTAGCAACACGGAGAGCTGATGGTTGCAGAAGTTCTGTAAACCAGATACCATCACATTAATGGATTGAAATTTACCATGATTGATGTCTTTAGACAGAAAATGCCAAATGCTACAAATTAGGCATTTTTCTTCCCATAGAGCCGCATTGTTAAATATTTATCAGCACACCACCTATTGGAGGACTGGCTGAACTAAAAGTTTCAAGATGACTTCACTAGATGTTTTCACCAATTTCTGTCAGCTGGTGTTGGCAATTGTCTGAGGAACCTCAGCTTTCATCCATGATACGTCTGATTATTTAAAAGTGTGTGGTTCCTCCCCCCTTACTGTTGTTATTATCTTCTGCTTGCTCCTGCTTTTGCCGTGTGACATGCCTGCTCCCCCTTCACCTTCCACCGTGATTGTAAGCTTTCTGAGGCCACCCTAGAGGCTTCCTGTAAAGCCTTCAGCCAATTAAACCTCTTTTCTGTATAAATTACTCAGTCTTCAGTATTTCTTTACATCAGTGCAAGTATGGCCTAAAACAGTCCACATGACCACTCACACTAAAGAAGTCTGAGCTGACTTCTTTACCTCGCAGTTTCAGTGCAACACTCTAAGAGGAACAGAAGTAGAAGTTGCTATCTGTCTTAACAAGTCACATAACATTACTTCAATCACATTCCATTGGTTACTTATGTAGCCTCTCTGATGCCTAGTTTCCTTTATCTATAAAGTTAATGTAGCTTACTAATAGCTTTTATAATAAGAGTTAAGTAATAAAACCCTTATGAAACACTTATGACAGTAACTTGTACATTAAAAATATTCATAAATGTCAATTACTATTATTATTTTATACTTTACATCCTTAATATGTCTCATATCGGTCACATTTTTCACCTCATTACCACTGTCTTTGTAAAAGATGCCCTACTTAATTCCTTGACAGTACCTAGTCTATGGTAATTCGGTCTTAGCACTCATAACTGTAAAGAAATAGTTGTTCATTTACCAGATTCCCACTTTTAGACTATAAACCATGGGAGGCTTAAACTCTGGAAAAATCACTCCATTCAATAAATATTTTTTGTATTAGTTTTAACACTATGAGAATGCTTAACCTGTTACCTTTTTCCCCATTTTCCCACGTTAATCCTTTCCCTGTTTTCCCTGAAAATACACACTGGCAGCACTTGCAGCTGCAGCATTTACCCTGAGATAAGTGTACCACAAAATATCTCACTTTTATTATTTTTGGATTGCTCTCGAATATTGACTTTAGAAACAAAAGACATCATTCTATTTACAGCATTCTGTTTTTTAGTAGTGGTATTTCTGTTTGCAAAATATAGTAATTCTCAATTGATGAAAATGTCAAATCCTATAAAACAGCATTTCTATATGTGATATTAACACCATTCTTGAGCAGTTGTTACCCAAAGATTCATTTGAATCCAATTTTCCAAAAAATCAGAATCCATTAGACAATTCTGATGATTCAAACAATTCTGATGTTAGTTCTGTTTAGAAATAACACCAATAACAGTTTTTATATTTTATTTTCACATTGAAAATTGGTCAGATTTGCTTTAGCTTCATAGAGCATGTTTATGTAAAATTAAATGCGCACAGGCAGCAAGCTGCACGTTTTTTCTAAATAGGAAAAGAGTTCAGTTTTAATTTTTATCATATTGATACAGATATGACAATACATTCTTGGAGAAAAAATTAAGAACAGTATTAAATAAATAATTGAATGGTAAAATAATTAAAATACCTTGAGTGATAAATATACAGTATTGGTCATTTAAAATACTGTAGCCAATAAACAAGTGTCAGAATGTGAGAGAAAGTATTTTACAGTAGTTGGGTAACAGACTCTTGATACAGGTTGACTGTAATCAGATGTCAGCTCAACAGCTTTTGCTGTGACTTTGGTAATATACTTGAACTTTTTGTGTTTTAGTTTTCTCCTGTGTAAAATTAAGATAAGAATATTTGTATCTTAGACCATTATCGTAAGCATTTAATAAGTTAGTGTATGTAAAGTAATAAAATACTAATTGTCACATAGTAACTTCCATTTAAATTTTCTTTGTTATGTATCATATTTTCTGACACTCTGTCCTCAGAAATCTTTGTTCTAAAAATATCGTAAATACTACAGATTCAATTAAATTAGAAAATGTACCATGCCACACTTGAAGAAAGTTGAGTATAATGCAAGTATTCTATAGTTTTCCTTTTTTGAAAAATGAATCACTACAATATATTTTAATGACATTTTCACTTTAAATATAGAATAATTACCTATATCTGTTATGCTGTTTTTTTCTGTATTAGTATCTGACAAATATTAACATATATGGTTTGCCTCACGTAAACATGTGGTGTGCATAAAAAAACTATAAAAGTAAGAAAAATTAAATCATATCCTATAATCTCTTGCATTTATTGAATGTCTCTGAAGAACTCTGGCATACTAGCTCTTATGTAACTAAATTATTTCTTGTGCTTAATCTTGCTATTTCCACTGCTTGTCAATTATCTTTTCTATTTTAATCCATTTAACATCTCTTAGCTTTTCTTTTGTTTTTCTTTTTCAAATTTACCTATTACAACATTAACTTAGCTTTCAACAGAATAGCTTGTTATTGACCACCATATAACACTAAAACTTGTTTTAGTAACTACTTTGTACCTAAACATTTTTAATACAGTAATTTCCCTAAGCTCCACTTTTACTTTAGACTGCCTCCAGCTACATTTTCATCTCCATATTAGGTTATTCTTGCATCCCTTTAAAGAAATACCTGAGGCTGGGTAATTTATAAAGAAAAAGGCTTAATTTACTCACAGTTCTTCAGGCAATACAGGAAGCATGATGCTGGCATCTGCTTGGCTTCCAGGGAGATGTCAGGCAACTTACAATTATAATGAAAGCAAATGCAAGTGAGGTGTCTCACATGGTGAGAGCAGAAGCACGGGTCGGGGGAGGTGCCACACACTGTTAAACAACCAGATCTCATGAGAACTCAACATCACTGAGGACACCTCCAAGTGGCATGCTCTTAAATCATGAGAACTTCCCCCATGATCCAATCACCTCCCACCCAACCCCACCTTTAACACTGGAGGGTACAATTGAACATAAATTTTTGGTGGGCACACACAGCTGAACCACATCCTTCTTCCCCTTGCTCCTTCCACATCTCATGTCCTTTCACATTGCAAAATACAATCATGTCTTTCTAGCAATCTCCCCCAAAGCCTTAACTCATTACAGCAATAACTCAAAAGTCCGAAGTCCAAAGTCTCATCTGAGACAATGCTACTCTCTTAAGCTTATAAAGTCAAAATTCTTTTAAAAAAATCTAGTTACTTCCAAGATACAGTGGGAGTATAGGCATTGGGTAAATACTCTCATTCCAAAGGGGAGAAATCAGCCAAAAGGAACAAGCTACAGGCTCACGCAAGTCCAAAATCCAGCTGGGCAGTCATTAAATCCTAAAGCTACAATATAATCACCTTTGACTTCATGTCCCAAATCCAGGGCACACCAATGCAAGAGGTAGGCTCCCAAAGGCTTGGGCAGCTCTAGTCCTGTGATTTTTCAGGGTTCAGCCACCACAGCTGCTCTCCCAGGCTGGCATTGAGTGTCTGTGGCTTTTCCAGGCACAGGATGTATGTTAGTCCACTCTTGCTTTTCTATAAAGAATTATCTGAGACTTGGTCATTTATAAGGAAAGAGGCTTTATTAGATTGTGGTTCTGTAGGCTGTTCAGAAAGCATGGTGGCATCAGCTTCTGGGGAGGCCTCAGAGTACTTAAAATCATAGCAAAATGTGAAGAGGAAGCAGACACATCTGTCTGGAGCCGCAGGAAAAGAGAGAGGGAGGAGGTGCTACACAGTTTTAAAGAAAGACCTCATGGGAATTTTATCACAAAAACAGCACTAGGGGGATGGTACTAAATCATTCATGAGAAACTGCCCCTGTGATCCAATCACCTCCCACCAGGCCCCACCTCCAACACTGGGGATTATAACTGAACATTAGATTTGGATGGGGACACAGATTCAAACCATATCAATCTTCTTCTACTGCACTTCCATCTAATCTTAAATCTACTATTTTGCCTCATACATGTTTCCTTGACTTTTAAAGACAGTACTTGAAATTTGTTTCTTTGACTTTTATGGATGCTGGTTAAAATTTACTTCTGTGTAGTATATGTTGTTTCAACAGATGATATTATTTATTTTTTGTATGTATGTCTTACTTCCTCTGTGCCACAAAAAGTCACCTTGTTCCTTTTTCTTAATTTTTTTTTTGCATCTATATTTTTCTCTTTACCATTAAAGAATTGGGAGTTCTCTTTTAGTCTGATATTTCAGAAATAAATACTTCAGAAATAAGGTTTTTTTTAAGAATTTTCTATTTTGAACTGGTATGTGTTTACAGACCATTTTTAGGGCCAACTATAAAACTTGTTAACAATGTAATCACTGAGCTGGTTATTTGTCTATAGGCACTTAGCTCTGCTCTAACCTTTTGTGATTTCCCTTCCCTGCAGGAAGCTGGAAGCCTAAAAACTTTATTTCCACTGATCCTTTACCATCTTGATTATTTAGCTTCTGCCATGGGGAAGTAATAATGAATTGGAAGGTGGGAGTAAGAAAGGAGTCCTTTATTCTCTGCATATTGTGGTGCCTCTGGAAGGGGGCCGATGGAGACTGAAATATCTCTGATGGTTTCAGTGTTTCTGAATGTACACTGACTGAGCTCTTCCAGTGCAATCAGAAGTAGCCCATGTATTCCACAATGTACTCATCATTCCTACCATTATAATCAAGCAAAATAGCCCATTTCAGCCTCACATACTTGCCTTTAATTTAATCCAGTTGATGTACAGTTTTGCATTTGCTGACATGAAACAGAAATAGCCCATTATTCACTGGCAAAAAAGTCACAACTTTCAGATGACAAATAGATTAACAAACTCACATTCCAATCCTTGAAAGCCTATTTCTGAGTTTGCTTCTTTAACAAATACCAAAGCAGCCAAAGTTTAGTTGGGAAATGAAAGCCTCTCTGGTGATATCAAACAGACAGGAATAGAAATAAATAAATTGATGGCAGAGAGTTCTAGAGAGTTAAAGGAAGGGGTTTTCTGGAGAAGTGACTGGAGATTATGAAGGGGATGGTGAGCAGCCATTGGAGAGTGTTACGGTCACTTGCCTTAGTCCATAAGGTCACACTTACCTCCAACAAGCTGAGGGTGATGTCACTGCCTTTTCTTCTGTTGCTATTGCTGCTTCATATGAACTAAGCTTGCCCTCTCTGCTCCAGATGCTGTTGACACAACCACTGACTCTGCTGAAGCCACTGTAACAGTCTCTGTGTAGGCAACACATGAAGCAGCAAAAATGGCTTTTTCCTTCCTCTTGCCAGTGCACTCATTGTAAAAGCTGTCTCCTGGTAAACTGCCCTGAAAGTCTGTCCTTTGGAGTTAACAAAAATATACTTTGCAGGCTTTTAGTCCCTTAGAAATATAGAGGAAAGCATGGAATGACAATAGGAACTAAGAGACAAAAATAAATAAATAAATATTATGCAGAGAAGAGTTTGCATGATTTAGCACTTTGACAATCCTGGTAGGCAAAATTCATCTTTGCATAGATTATCCTATTTGGGACAAATGTACTGAATTAACTTCTAAACCCAGTGTTAATATGCCTCTTTCCAGAGAAGGAAGAGCCTTGATTCTTAAGATCATTTGTTGACTAAAATAATCATTAAGACAGCAAAGAACTTTACTGCCAAGTAAAAACTTTCTCTGGGGCTACTACTATCTCCACCAAAAGCTGCGTATATTAAGTACAACTACACAGTCATCTGAATTCTCAGGTCCTATCCAGATTATTAAACATTTCCTGCGTCAAAGAAGACTCTCAAAAACTGCTCCCTGCTACTACAGGCTTTCTGTTGGGAACAGGAAGATGTCACTACTAGACCTGTACACTACTACAGGCTTTCTGTCAGGAAATCTTGAGTAATGACATTACCATTGCTATGACATCTGCTAATCTGTAGTAACGAAAGGCGTTCTAGTTAAAATACTTGTTTGGAATCTCACGGCCTGTCCCTGTCAGCCGTTTTCCTGTCAAGGCAATTCATGGGATATAGGCTCTCTTCTGGTTTATTTGGGAGGAAAGACATGTTCTTATTTCAAAGGAAAGTTTTGAGATGTAGGCTGGTGGGTCCTTTAATTTCAATCTATTTCTGCTGTGTGTAGTAGAAAACACAGAAGTCTGAACTAAGATGGTTCTTTTGCCTTGCTTTCAATTCTAATGAACAGTTTTCCCAGTTTTATATTTCCTGTGCCATTCAGGTGGAAAAAAAAGATACATCAGTTTTCTATTGCTGCTCTAACAAATTACCACAAACTTAGTTGCTTAAGTGATACAAATGTATTCGTCTGACATTTCTGTGGGTTGGAGGGCCAAGGGATTCACTGAACTAAAATCAAAGTGTCTGAAGAACTGTATTCCTTTCAGGAAGTTTTAGAGGAGAATCTATTTTCTTGTCAGCTGCTAGAATCTGCCCTCACTTTCTGGTTCATGGGTCTTTTGCCCCATCTTCAAAGATGCCAAATGCAGGTCAGCTCCTCCTATCACATCACTTTTACTCCTCTCTCTCTCTCTCTATCTCACCATACCTGAGAAGGTTTCCATGCTTTTAAGGACTCACGTGATTATATTGGCCCACCACAATAATCTCCTCTCAAGGTCCAGGATGCCAATCAGATTTGTAAAGTCTCTTTGGCCACAGAAGATACCATATTCACAAATCTCAGGAATTAGGGCATGGATATTTTGGGGGAGCCATTATTCTGCCTATTACAAAAGAGTATTATTTCTTAATCCTACTATCTTTTCCTCTTTCCTTCCTTTCTTCCTTTCTTCTGTCCTTCCTTCTAGAATGACATTTTCACTACAACTTCCTAATATATTGCAAAGAATTTGAGTATAAAAATCTGTCTTAATTTTGTATAACCCCAGGACCTAGCACAGTGTCTTGGCAGTGAAATATAGTGAAAATAACGATCCCTAATTTATCTTAAAATATCTTTCTTACACCTACTCAGGGCTGGCGATTGTGCAATGTAGTAAAGACAGAAAAGTAAGCAAAGTAGAAATGTTTGTGGATCTTGGGGAATAGAGATAGTAAACACATACTTTTAAGTGTCAGAGTGCAAGAGAGCGAGCACCACCTAACTGCTAAATAGCCTCTCTAATTTTCTCCTTCACAAAATAAAAATAACCCAATAATATCTACCTTCAGTTTTTTTGCGTGAAGAATAAAGAGGCTAAAATATCACAAAATACTTTACAAACTATAATGTCCTGTATTGACCAAACAAAAAAAGTGTTATCACTTGTGAAAGCACCAAATGTTACTTCAATTGTTGAATTAAATTTTCACTAAAACTCAAGAGACTGCCATGCTAGTCTGTAATGGGCAAATATTTTAAATTTATACCAAAATGGAAGCACTGCCTTTACTGCAATCTTTTGATTTAGTCTTTAAATAATAGTCATTAATCTCCTCTATGCTGATGTGATTTAGAAGGCAGTGTGTTCATTTTTCCCACCTAGCATTTAGATTAATGCCATTCTGGCATTTCTTTGTGCAGGGTAATTCAAGGGACAGCCATACCGCAGAGATGGTTATTTTATATTGCTCTGTCCAGATTACTTTATCTACTTGTAGGTACTAGAGTCCAATCATTCCTGCTTAGAAAAATTGAGGAAGGGGCAAGATTTATTTTCTCAAGTATTTTTCTAAGAATCTAATACACATACATAAAACACTGCACTAAATGTTGGTAATACGAATATACATACAATCATGTCCCTCCTCTTAACTTGTTCACTGTTTACTATAAAATATATAAAGTAAACTGATTGTCCTAAAGAATGTGAAGAGTCCTATGAAAACAACAGTAAGTCTATTTTATGTATAATAGGTTTTCAAGATTTTGTAATTTCTTCCAACACCCTGGAAAATTAGTGCAATTTTCATGCCCAATAGAAAATCTTGAAAAAAAAAAATGGCACCATTTCCTCTTCCCTGGGCAACAGATCTGAAAAAAAAAAAAAAAAAAGTACATGGGAAGTTTTGCATCCCTCTCTTTCACCTGCTAGAAGAGACTCACAGGACTCAGAAGGAAAACAGCAATAAGAAAAGAAAATTTGAGCAGGGAAGAAGTAAGGTAAGGATGTGAAGAAAAAAGAGACCCAGCAATCGTTCTCAATCGAATAGCAATTTCAGTTTCTATTGCAGGTCCTTATGAAAAGCAATGAATTTTAGTATTTAGGAGTCCATTTCTGTTCGTTCTAGGTCAACTTTTTTAAGAGAGGGAGAATTCTTGCATTCATTTTCCAATTTAACTTACAGATTTTATAATGACATCTGAAAAGTGTTAATAATTATTAGAAAGATTAACCTCTTTTTTTTAACTTAAACATTGGTTTTCTCTACTGGACACTTATGCTTTTATTAAATATTTCTAAATATAATTCTCCCTGGCTATTTTGAGAATATTGTTTAAGTAACATTGAAATTTAACTAGAATTCCTAAAAGTATGCTAATGCTTTTCTTCAAGCAGTTCCAATTCCAAATGGAGTGCAGAAAACGTTAGGTGGTAATGGGAGGTGAAGGGATAGTCCACGAGTGATCACACCACACATGTTTTAACTGTCAAAGTCTATAGCTCGCCAAACTGAAATACTCATGAAATTCTTCTGTAAAGTATCAAGTACCATACTAACATTGCAGCTCTTTTTCAGTCCTAACTAAAATGCAATAGATTAAAGACAGACTACATACACTTAAGTGACATTTTTAATGCAGAAAGTTTGCCTGTTTTGACTATTTTTACCAACCAAGGTTGATACTTTGAGCCACTTTAGATCTTGGCTTTGCATTGATGATATGTAAGTGATACAAATCCTTTCACTGTAAGAAAATTTTAATTATTTCTAATTAAATATATTAAATGTATTTATATTTATTATATTGTACTTACTTCTATAATGAGATCACTAACTTTTCTTGTTTTCTGAGAAAATATTGAAACTTCAGCTTTAAATTTTTGCTTGATAATCTTAGACAAGTTCCTTAACTTCTCTTCTTTTCAGTCTCCAATCTGAAAAATAGAATCCAGTATATCCATTTCACAGGGTGATAGAAAATGTATAGAACATTAAAGATTGCCTGGCATAGTATATTTATCTACTTCTAAAAATCATCACAAGGCACCTCATTAATTTATATCTGTATAATGGAAAATTTACAGAGTTATTGCTTTGTAGATATTTTAAATTATTTTATCTTAAACTTGTCTTAATTCTTATGAAAGAATAAATTTTACTTGATGTTTAGTAATTACATTACTAGACTAAAAAACAAAAGCCATAATATTTCAATAGACCACAGCTGGCGTAGGTCTACACCATCACAGAACTACACGCATTTAGGGTTAATTATTTTCATCTTCTGTTAGCTTCTGTCAGGATCTCTAATAACAGGTTATTCTACTACTCTTTCACTAGAAAAAATAAACTGGAAAGGACACAAAATAGAGTAAAAACAATTCTGGTTTGTATTTAGATGACCAGTTTAGGATCACTCCTTTATAGTTATTAGATCTATGGCACTGAGCAATCATTATCCTTATGTCTTTTTTCAGGGATTTTTCAACAGTCTGTTGAGGAAGCCAAAGGACCTTCCTAGTCATTTATCATGCATTGATGTTACTTTCATCTGTGAACATATGGACTCGGTTACTTTCATTAGAAAAACAAAATTGCAGTGTTTAAACTGTTGTATTCCTACAAGACAATTTCTTACAAAGGAATGAACACATACAAAATATTTTTCAGTCTTTATGTCTTAAAGTATAACATGAGAATGTATTTTATGCATTATTCTTAATATGCATGGTAGAGAATAGAAGCAGCTCTGTTTTTCAGTGCCCTAAATAAGAAAGAAAAAGTTAAAATTATATTTTAATTTCTTTACATATAAGCATATTGGGCAACAAAAGGGAAGGCAGCCCAACCTCAGGACAAGAAACATTGACAGGTTTTTGTACATGAAATGAGATTGATGGACAATTTTGTCTGCCACTTTTAAGACAAAAAAAAAATTTTAATCTTAAAAATTATTAAATTTTGTCCAGACATTTGAAATAATTCAGATAGAACCTTCACCACCAGAAAGTTAAGAAACCAGTGTTTGTAATATTTCTTGAAAAATATTATCTGGATAAAAATGGAAGGACTTTGTATTCTCTTTGAAGCTCATGAATTTAAATTTCACATATTTCATTTACTGACTTAAAATTAATTTATTAACTACTTTGTGGCCTGGAAAGAAGACAGACATTTCCCATGATTTGGGTAAAAAATTTCCTAAAACATGAAATGTGCGATGATAAAATATTAACTGAAAAATACTTAAGTAGAATCAAATAAATGTTTCACAAGTTTCAATGTTATATATGAACAAAATTATCCTTAAAAATCCTGCAAGTCACCCTGAAACCGATTTTGAACATTTTGTATATCCATACAATTATTATTTTGTATGTACAATCTGTCTTTATATATGTATAAATGTATTATTTGCATGAGTTAATTTTATACATATTACATTTTATACCCACACAGCCTCATGAGTCTATTGTTATTAGTTTCATTTAATCAATAAGGCTAAGCTGCAATGGCAACTGGACCAAGGTTACCAAGTAGAAAGTTGCAGAATCAGTCTATTAAATAAATAATTACTAAGGGGGAAAAAATCCATATCTTTATAATCCACACTGGGCAAATCAAATGTTACTGATTTAATTTAAAATATCTAAGTCAGTATTACAACAGTGAATGAAACATTCTCTCTCTCTCTCTTTCCATGCCCTAAAAAGACAAAAATACAAATTATATTCACCTCAAAGAAATTTTTTTTAAAAAAATGCCTTGCTTTAAGGGATTAAAAACAAAGAATAATAAAATCTCATTGAATAATGGAAGGTATGGAATACAGCTATCATATACCCAGAAGTAAGGGTGCCTCCTTTCTCTAAACAAGAGAATCTAGAAGCCCTTATTTTTATATTTGATTGGCCAATGCTAAAAGACTTAGTTCCGAGGTTCTCAAAGTGTGGTCCGGGAACCAGCACATCAGCATCACCTGGAAACTCATTAGAAATGTCAGTACTCTGGCTCCTCCCCAAACCTACTGAATCAAAAACTCTGAGCGTAGGGCCCACTAGTCTGGTTTAACAAGCCATTCAGGTGAGTTTTATATACTAAAGTGTTTGAGAACCTTTGGCTTACTGAGACTATGTGTTTTATTTTCTCCCCTCAGGTGTGGATGAAACGAGGCTTCACCCCTGAGTCTGCAACCTTAGACAAGTTTCTCCACAATGCTACTCTGAGATCAAGATCTCAACTGTACATCCTGGAGACAACACAACAACACAAGGGAATAAAATCTTATACAACTGTCAGAGGTATTGTGGAGTTCAAATTAGATGATATACAATGACACCAAGGAAAATACATTGTGAAATTTGACGAGATTCTGAACTCAAAAAGAGATGCTGCTCTATTCATTTCAAAACAACTCATAATAAAAGTGTTCCGCCGGGCGCGGTCGCTTATGCCTGTAATTCCAACACTTTGGGAGGCCGAGGCGGGCGGATCACGAGGTCAGGAGACCGAGACCATCCTGGCTAACGCGGTAAAACCCCGTCTCTACTAAAAAAATACAAAAAAATTAGTGGGGCGTGGTGGCAGGAGCCTGTAGTCCCAGCTGAGGCTGAGGCAGGAGAATGGCGTGAACCCGGGAGGCGGAGCTTGCAGTGAGCCGAGATCGCGCCACTGCACTCCAGCCTGGTCGACAGGGCGAGACTCCGTCTCAAAAAAAAAAAAAAAAAAAAAAAACAGTTTTCCAACTTAGCGTTTCCGGCATTAACTAATCACACCTCAATCTCACTTTTATTTTTGCTCTTCTTGTTTTTTTCAACTGGCACCTGGAGCAGGTCAGTCACATTCCTCATTTTTCAGGGACACCTTCGATGCCAGATTCTTTTTGCCTTCCGGTAAGATTTTTTTTTTAGTATCTTGGCCATTTAGGGGGAGGGAGGATAAGAAATAAAGGGACAGTATTAGAGCGTTAATAAATTGTTTTTTGTAAATACGTTTTAGGATGTTCACATGTAGTGCTTCTTCAAGATTTCTAAAAGTATCTACGTTATGGCTTCACTCTATCATTGTAAGCCTTACTAGGATTCCTGAATTTTGACATATATTTATTTTTTCTTCTGACTCAAGCTTTGAATGACAAGAATACTGTCATGTTTTCTATATTTTCCACAAGATAGATAGAATAAAATACCCATCAACTCTCTTTACACATAGACTTTTTAATAAATTGTTTAAACTATTCACATCTCCAATGGCTAATTTGGGATGATACAGAAATGCACATGTTTTTAAATATATATCAAGAGCATATTAAACAATTCCACAGCACAGATGAATAATATTGTTACCAGTGAAATTCATGCTGTATCCTAAAACAAATAGCCAATATTTGACATAATAAAGCAAATATCCTTTTACCTTTACTATCAGTTTGGGGGCTGTTAAATTATTGGGGAAGTGGCAGGTAAAATTTTCTTTTTATCTTTTCTGAAAATAAAATAATTTGGTAATGTTCCAGGTCAGTATACAAAGAGTTTTCTAATTTATGTATAAATTTTTAAAATAAAGTATAATAGAGCAAAAAGCTCACTAGCATTTAGAACTGTCCTGATAACAGAATGACAGGGCCTGGGCTTGAATTTTGTGTAAAAAGATTGTAGGTGCCAAATCATCTCCATTTCTCATATCATGATTAATTCTCCAGAGAATTATAGCAGGTACACAAATTAGAAGAGCTCTTTGAATCTTACTTTCAAATTTGAAAAAGAAAATGTGTATTGTTTTGCAACATAGCTTTTGAATTAATGTTTTTAATTTATATTATTATTCTGACCTAATATTTAGGTATTATATATTTGAAATAAAAAGAGAGGCCACCATCATATTAAGCATGACATGAAGTACCTGGCATATTCTGAGTTATGTGTACAGGTAATTAGTTCTAACTCAAGGTAATGTTCTCATAAATAGGGAACAAATATTACCAAATTCATTAATTAGTCATGCTTATACTTCTGTCATTTGGAATAATGTGTTTGCTTGAACTAAGGTTTCCTATTTATTAGAGTCATTAATGACTGTCAGTAAGATACAGTGCTCTAACATTTCACCAATATTTGAGAAACGCACAGGTATTGCATTTTTTTAACAGGGGACTAGTCTCATTTTATATCTGTATGGAATGACAACCACAGTATTAAATTCCCTTGGCCTATTTCTGCTACTTTCCTTTATTTCATTCATCCTACTGTTTCCTTTATTTCATTCATCCTCTACCATTTTTATTCTTATAACACGTATATCATTGTATCATAATTACTTGTTTGCATTTCTGCCTTCCTCCACTAAAGCACATGAATCATTCTGCTTCTCATAAGCATCCTCATTTATTGTTTAATGAATTTAAACATTCACTTATACACATATATTTCAATAAAACTTTCAAATAAACTATTTTAACTAAATTAAAATATTTTAGCTGTTAATATACGTATGCAATCATTCTTCTGTGAATATATGCAACATACATTACTTTGCATTATATATCTAAACACAAACACAAGGACTATTGTATTAGTCCTTTTTCATGCTACTGATATAGACATACCCAAGACTGGGTAATTTATAAAGAAAAAGAGGTTTAAAGGAATCACAGTTCCATGTGGCTGGGGAGGCCTCACAATCATGTTGGAAGGTGAAAGGCACATCTTACATGGCAGCAGCCAAGAGAGAATGAAAGCCAACTGAAAAGGGAACAAGAATAAAAATATATATCCATGCTAATGGGAGGTTGCTTATAAGACAATGTCTGACATATATGATTTATTACAAGTTATTGATTCCAATATTTTTAAAAATCTACCACAACACATTATCAACAAAATAAAATCACACAAAATCCTGTTAAATATTTTGTTATGATATTTTATGCAACTTTTTAAAGCATATATTATTTCACCTAACTAAAATGTATATGAATAATATTTCTACATTTTCATAATGAACTAAGGCAGCATTTCCCAAAGAGTGTTTCAGAAAATACGTCTTTAGAGATGTTCTTTTTTTTTTTATTATACTTTAAGTTTTAGGGTACATAAAAATGAATTAATGTTATATAGATTAAAAATAAGCATATGAAAATGTTCTCAACAACATAAGTCATCAGGGAATTGCAAATTAAAACAACGAGATACCACTACGTACATATTAGAATGAATATAATAAAAAAAAACTAAATTCAAATTGCTGACAAAGATGCAGAACAAGAATTCTCACTCATGCTGGTGAGAATATAAAATGGCACAGCCACTTTGGAAGACCACTTGGCTATTTCATACAAAAACAACACTTTTCCTATACAACGTAGCGATCATGCTACTAGATATTCATCCAGCCAAATTGGGAATGTATGACCACATAAAAACCTATATGTTAATGTTTATAGTGACTTTATTCATAGTCAGCAAAAATGGGAAACAATCAAAATGTCTTTCCATAGATGAACAGGTAAACTTGACACATTCATATAATGGAATATTATTCAGCAATTTAAAAAATGAGCTCTCAAGCCATGAAAAGGCATGAATAACTTTTTTTTTTTTTTTTTTTTTACTTAAAGTTCTGGGATACATGTGCAGAACGTGCATGTTTGTTACATAGGTATATGTGTGCCATGGTGGTTTGCTACACATATTAACCCATAACCTAGGTTTTAACCCACACATGCATTAGCTATTTATCCTTATGTTCTCCCTCCCCTAACCACCCCCACAGACAGGCCAGAGTGTGTGTTGTTTCCCTCCCTGCATCCATGTGTTCTCATTGTTCAACACCCACTTATGAGTGAGAAAATGCAGTGTTTGGCTTTCTGTTCCTGTGTTAGTTTGCTGAGGGTGATGGCTTCCAGCTTCATTCAAGTCCCTGCAAAGGACATGATCTCATTCCTTTTATGGTTGCATAGTATTCCATGGTGTATATGTACCACATTTTCTTTATCTAGTCTGTCACTGATGGTCATTTGAGTTAGTTCCATGTCTTTGCTATTGTGAATAGTGCTGCTATAAACATACATCTGTATATATCTTTATAATAGAATGATTTTTATTCTTTTGGGTATATTACCCAGTAATGAGATTGCTGGGTCAAATGGTATTTCTGGTTCTAGATCATTGAGGAATTGCCACACTGTCTTCCACAATGGTTGAACTAATTTACTTTCCCACCAACAGTGTAAAAGCTTTACTATTTCTCCACAGCCATGCGAGCAGCTGTCCTTTATTGACTTTTTAATAATCACCATTCTGACTGACATGAGATGGTACCTCATTGTGATTTTAATTTGCATTTCTCTTAAAGATCAGTTAAGCTTTTTTCAGCCACATAAATGTCTTCTTTTGAGAAATGTCTGTTCAAGCCCTTTGCCCACTTTTTGATAGTGTTGTTTGTTTTTTTCTTGTAAATTTGTTTAAGTTCCTTGTAAATTCTGGATATTAGATCTTTGGCAAATGGGTAGAATGCAAAAATTTTCTCCCAATCTGTAGGTTGCCTGTTCACCCTGATGATAGTGTTTTGTTGTTGTTGTTGTTTGTTTTTTGTTGTTTGTTTCTGTGCAGAAGCTCTTTAGTATAATTAGATCCCATTTGTCAATTTTAGCTTTTGTTGCAATTGCTTTTGATAATTTCATCATAAAATATTTGCCCATGCCTATGTCCAGAATGGTACTGCCTAGTTTTGCTTCTAGGGTTTTTATGGTTTTGGATTTCACATTTACGTCTTTAATCCATCTTGAGTTAATTTTGTATAAGGTATAAAGAAAGGGTCCAGTTTCAGTTTTCTGCATATGGCTAGCCAGTTTTCCCAGCACCATTTATTAAATAGGGAATCATTTCCCCATTGCTTGTTTCTGTCAGGTTTGTCAAAGATCAGATGCTTGTAGATGTGTAGTCTTATTTCTGACGTCTCTGTTCTGTTCCATTGGTCTATATGTCTCTTTTGGTACAAGTACCATGCTGTTTTGGTTACTGTAGCCTTGTAGGATGGTTTGAAGCCAGGTAGCGTAATATCTCCAGCTTTGTTCTTTTTGCTTAGGATTATGTCAGCTATGCAGGCTCTTTTTTGTTTCCATATGAATTTGAAAGTATGTTTTTCTAATTCTATGAAGAATGTTGGTGGTAGTTTAATGGGAATAGGACTGAATCTATAAATTACTTTGGGCAGTATGTCCATTTCACAATATTGATTCTTTCTATCTGTGAGGATGGAATGTTTCTTCATTTGTTTGTGTCCTCTCTTATTTCCTTAAGGAATGGTTTGTAGTTCTACTTTAAGAAGTCCTTAACATCCCTTGTTAAGCTGTATTCCTAGGCATTTTATTCTCTTTGTAGCAACTGTGAATGGGAGTTCATTCATTATTTGGTTCTTTGCTCGTCTATTGTTGGTGTATAGGAAGGCTCATGATTTTGGCACATTGATTTTGTATCCTAAGACTATGCTGAAGTTGCTTATCAGCTTAAGGAGATTTTGGGCTGAGACGATGGGGCTTTCTAAATATACAATCATGTTATCTGCAAACGGTGACAATTTGACTTCCTCCTTTCCTATTTGAATACCTTTATTTCTTTCTCTTACCTGATTGCCCTGGCCAGAACTTCCAATATTATGTTGAACAGCAGTGCTGAGAGACGACATCTTTGTCTTGTGCCAGTTTTCAAAAGGAATGCTTCCAGCTTTTGCCCATTCGGTATGATATTGGCTGTGGGTTTGTCATAAATACCTCTAATTGTTTTGAGATATGTGCCATCAATACTTAGTTTATTGAGAGTTTTTAACATAAAGGGATGTTGAATTTTATTGAAGGCATTTTCTGCATCTATGGAGATAATCATGTGGTTTTTGTCATTGGTTCTGTTTATGTGATAGATTACATTTATTGATTTGCATAGGTTGAACCAGCCTTGCATCCCAGATATGAAGCTGACTTATATCATGGTGGATAACCTTTCTGATGTGTTGCTATATTTGGTTTCCCAGTATTTTATTGAGGACTTTAGCATTGATGTTCATTAGGGATATTGGCCTGATGTTTTCTTTTTTTGTTGTGTCTCTACCAGGTTTTGGTATCAGGATGATGCTGGCCTCATAAAATGAGTTAGAGAGGAGTCCCTCCCTTTAAATTGTTTAGATTATTTTTTGAAGGAATGGTACCAGCTCCTCTTTGTACTTCTAGTAGAATTTGGCTGTGAATCATCTGGTCCTGGGCTTTTCTTTGGTTGGTAGGTTATTTATCACTGCCTCAATTTCAGAGCTTGTTATTGTTCTATTCAAGGATTTGACTTTTTTCTTGTTTATTCCTGGGAGGGTGTATGTGTTCAGGAATTTATTCATTTCTTCTAAATTTCTAGTTTATTTGCAAGAGGTGTTTACAATATTCTCTGATGGTAGTTTGTATTTCTGTGGGGTCAGTGATAATATCCCCTTTATTATTTTTGATTCTATTTGATTCTTCTCTCTTTGTCTAGCTAGAGGTCTATTTTATTATTTTTTCAAAAAAAATCAGCTCCTGGATTCATTAATTTTTTTGGAGGACTTTTCATGTCTCAATCTCCTTCAGTTCCGTTCTGATCTTAGTTATTTCTCATTTTAATTTCCAAAACATCATTTTGACAAGGTGAGAACTATTTTCTAGGCTTCACTGCCCACTAAGAACGAAAGAGAACTAGATAACCCACCATATTCACCAACAGTAACATTCTCCTCAGTTGATTTCTGGTTGTTTCTTCTACTTTTCTTTTTCACCTTTTATTTTAGGTTCAGGGTTATATGTGCAGGGTATATATATGTTACATGGGTAAATTATGTGTCATGAGAATTTGGTGTACAGATTATTCCATCATCCAGGGAATGAGTATACTACCTAATAGGTAGTTTTTTAATCCTCACCCTGCTACCTCCCTCCACCTTCAAATAGACCCTGGTATCTATTATTTCCTTCTTTGTATCTATGTGTATTCAATGTTTAGCTTCAACTTATAAGACAGAACATATGGTATTTGATTTTCTTTTCTTGCGTTAATTTGCTTAGGATAATGGCCTCCAATTCCATACATGTTCTGCAAAAAACACATTATTATTCTTTTATGATTGTATGCTATTCCATGGTGTTTATGTACCATAATTTCTTTATCCAGTCTACCATTGATGGGCATTTAGGTTGGTATTATGTATTTTTGCTATTGTGAATAGTACTATAATGAATATAAGCATGCATTTGTCTTTATGGTATAACAATTTATATTCCTTTGGCTATATATCCAATAATAGGATGGCTGGGTTGAACGGTAATTCTGTTTAAGGTTCTTTGAGAAATCTCCAGATGGTTTTCCACAGTCTCTGAACTAATTTACATTCTCACTAGCAGGGTATAAGTATTCCTGACTCTCTGCATCCTCACCAGCCTCTGTTATTTTTTGACTTTTTAATAATAGCCATTCTGACTGGCATGAGATGCTTTTGATTTCTATTTCTCTAATGATTAGTGATGTTGAGCACTTTTGATATGCTTGTTGGTAATGCACATGTCTTTTTTTGAGAAGTGTCTGTTCACATCCCTTGCCTATTTTTAATGAGGTTGTTTGATTTTGTTTGCTTATTTAAGTTTTTTCTATATTGTAAATATTAAATCTTTGCTGGGTGCAAAGTTTGCAAATATTTTATTTTATTCTATAGTTTGTCTGTTTATCTGTCAATAGTGTTTTTTGCTATACAGAAGGTCTTTAGTTTAATTAGGTCCTACTTGTCAATATTTGTTGTTGTCATTATCGCAATTGCTTTAGGGATCTTTGCCATGAAATCTTTGCCAGGGCCTATGTCCAGAATGGTATTTCCTAGCTTTTCTTCTAGGATTTTTATAGTTTTAGGCTTTATATTTAAGTCTTTAATCTATCTTGAGTTGATTTTTGTATATGGTAAAATGTAGGGGTCCAGTTTTAATCTTTGGCATATGTAGCTAGCCAGTTATCCTAGCACCCTTTATTGAATGGAGAGTTCTTTCTTCATTGCTTGACATTGTCTACTTAGTCAAAGTTCATAGGGTTGTAAGCGTGCAGCTTTATTTCTGCTCTTCTGTCATCAAGAGCTCTACCAGTGATCTTCATCAGGAACACTTGGTTCAGTGTTTTAGAATCACTTGACAGTGATTCTAAAATAACACAAGATAATGCTAAGCTACAGAAACCACATGTATATATACATTGTGACGTAAATTACACACCTTACCTTTATTGCCGAAGTAGTTTGCTTCAGTTATCTATTTTAGGTAATCTGAGCAAAATTACAATGTGAAATGTAAAATAACAAATAGAAAAAATAGCTTTGCAGCACTTAAATTAATGAGCATTATGAAAATAAATAATTGTATTGAGTGATATAACAGTCTCAGACATTTTATATTTCTGATTCAGCTTAATATTTATCACAAATGACTTAAGGAAATTGCTGTGACCTCCAATGTAGAAAAAAGAAAACTGAGGCCCAGATAAGTTTTCACTTGTAGTAAAATTAAATCTTTTGTATTTAAACATAAGAAAGTTTCATTGCTTAATCAGTAAAAATATACACATCTAATGATTTCAGTTATTTAATATAGCCACACCTAAAATTATATTCAATCAATGTGAAATTTATAAGTAAATGTACTCTTTTATTTGACCTAGAGTGTTTATGCCATCTATTATGTTAACAACTTTAAATTATCCAATTAAATTGTAATATTAAGTGCTTAGTGGTATACAAAATAATAAAGGCAATTTCTTCTTTATTGTGTGGGCATTCTAGTGGAAATTTGTTTATGTTTCACAATGTTTGCATAGGCAATAATGCCGCTTTGCAAATTATGAGCTTGTGTTTTAAATGAGAACATTATTTTAATTATAGAATATCTTACATGGAATATAAAGGCTAGCAATGTAATTTTATTTTAATGATCTCGATTTAAAGAAATGCAGCTATCATTTTCTTAATGCTAGTAGGAGCATCATTGTGCTTCCTAACACAAAAGCATTCACATTTGAATTCAAAAGCATTTTTAAAAATTTTCTGCTTCTTTCCCTGTAGACAAAAGAAAACTATTGGAGCGGTAGTAAGAGAGATCAAACCCAACACTTTACAGAGAATGAACAATTATCTGTCTCATTTGACCAATCCCTCAAATTTAGCTTTGTACATGGTCATAAAAATCAAGAGTCTACTCAATTTCAGTGAGAGGCTAAACCTTTCTGTCTACCAGAGTAAGATCCTGTTCTAGTTTTCACAATAGCTAAAATTACACCACTGGAAATGCTTTGAAAAAAGTAAAATCATCTCTTTTATAAATGACATGCTTTTGCAATGTTGTACAGTATTTTCACTAGCATTTTGACTTAAATGAACTTAATATATTACTTTGTGCTCTTACACAAGTGACTTAGATCAATATGAAGTTGCCTTGAGCACAAGGGAAGTGGAAATGGAGAGAAAGAAAAGGTCTGCACTGGATGAGATTCTTTTTCACTGACTGAAATCAAAATTGGAATACCTTAAGCAAAAAGGGAAATGACTTACAAAGGTAATGAGGTGTCTCATAAACTACCAGGAAATCAATATAGCTGGGCCTTAGGATTTAATACCAAGCCCAGTTCCCCATCTTCCACATTTCCTATTCTCTAGGCATTTGTTTTATGCTCTCTGAAGACCCACAATGTGGTTCACATGGCAGAAAACTTGACAGCAGAGAGCATCTAGTTTAATATCTTATATAAATAGTTTAAACAGCTTCAGCTTCCAGAAAGACTACAAGATTTTATCTCTATCTCAAGGCTTATATTTTTAGGAGATCACTGTGGCTTCATCTTGAGTATAGAACCTAACTGTGATCAGTTGCACATATATTTAGTTCTAGTGCAAGACTCATGCGTTCTTCCAGTCGTGAGGATTATAGAATCACAGAATATAAGATCTAGGTTTATGTAAGGTCCTATAATCCAGTCCTTTCATTTTACTTATAAACAAACTGAAGTTTAGAAAGCAAAGTCAACTTTTTCAAGAGAAGCAGCAGAGACACTGCTTATGCCCCAGTGTCATCAAGAGCTAAACTTATTCTGGGTACATATATAAATTGTCAGAACACAATGGATACTATATTCTTTCAGTGACCACCGCTCCCCCCAAAATTATTTATCTTAATTTACATAAATTTCAAAACTAATTCAAGTCCAACGGCGCATAAAGGAGAAAAAAATTCAAAATTAATAAACACATAAATTTTAAACTATATAAAATATAAAAGAAAAAAGGCAAAATTCCCTATTAATACACTTCTCTCCCAGAGGCAATCAGTGCTAATAATATCCACTTTGCAATCCCTAATTATGTTCTATACATCATTTGTGTGTATGTGTACACATCTGTGTGAGCTCACTTATGTAAATATGTATCAATACAATTTTCAGCATAAATTGCCTTAAATGGATAAATGATCATGAGACTCGCTGTTCTTACTTAACATCTTTACATTCATTGCATATATGTTTACTTTTTTAACAGCTACATGACATTGCAATAGTATCTACCTACTATAATTTATTAACTGTCTATTTACTGAGAGATATTTAGGTTGCCTCCAAAATTTTATATGATAAACAATAACGAAGACTGGTAGCACCTCTGTGCTCCCTGGGACCGAGCTCTGTCCCAGGTGAAAGGCCCTCTGCCATTGCCTCTTTCAAAATCCCTTCACCTGGTGCCCCCACTTGTAGCAGGAAGGCCCACAGCTCTACAGCTGCTACTCCTATTGTGCTCAGGATTAGGAGCAAGAAAAAACTCTAAGGACGAACTCAGGCCTCCAGTACAGCACAGCTGCCTTATGGAAAAGCAGCCAGACTGTTTTTCAGGCAGTTTCCTGCCCCTGTTACTCTTCACTGAGCAGGGCCTCTCAACCTGGCCCCCCAGCACAGCCTCCCTGCCCCAAACTGAACACTTTAGTTGGTGACAGGCCTGTGTTTCTGTGGGGAGAAAATCCCAGAGACAACCCCTCTCTTTACAGTCCATCTCCTATTACAGCTCCAGTGGTACCACCCTTATGGTCCTAGGCCTAAGGAAGAAAGAAAAAGGGCCTGATTGTGTGGCTGGCATCTTCAGCATGCTGCAAGCACCATACAGAGATGAGCCCAGCCTCTCTTCTCTGTGAACCTCCACCCTCTACTGCTCAAAATGGAGGGCCCCTGGCTCAGGATCACAAAGCAGATGCCCCACCCCCAACTCCAACTGATCATTCCCACTGGTGGTGGCTCTGTTTCCCTGGAGTGCAGCTCCCAGTGGCAACTGATAGCCTCTCTGCCATTGCCACCACAGTTGTTTTTCCCTTGTTGTCCTCATATTGGGAAATAAGCAGCGTAGGGCTTTATTTGTGCCTCGAGCATGCCAAAGTTGCCATATGGAGAGGAGCCCAATCTCTCTTCTCTGTGAGCCCCTGACACCCTGCTGGTGGCGCATGCCTGTAACCCCAGCTACTTGGGAGATTGAGGCAGGAGAATCGCTCGAACCCAGGAGGCGGAAGTTGCAGTGAATTGAGATCATGCCATTGCCCTCCAGCCTGGGCAACAAGAGCGAAATTCTGTCTAAAAAAAAAAAAAATCCAGAAACTAACCCAAATGACTACACTCAAATAACACCACAGTAATAGGAACACCAGCCCACACAGATGAGAAAGAACCAGGGCAAGAACTCTCACAACTCATGAAGACAGAGTGTCTTCTTACCTCCAAATGGCTGCACTAGTTCCTAGGCAATGGCTCTTAACTAGACCCAAATGGCCAAAATGACAGAAATAGAATTCAGAATATAGATAGGAATGAAGATCATTGACGTTCAGAAGAAAGTCAAAACCTAGTCCAAGAAATCTGAGTACAATAAAATGATACAGGAGATGAAAGATAAAATGGCCATATTAAGAAAGAAACAAACTAATCCGATAGAGCTGAAAAACTAACTTCAGGAATTTCATAATACAATCGCAAATATTAACAGTAGAATTGACCAAGCTGGGAAAAGAATCTCAGAGCTTAAAGACCGGTTCTCTGAAATAACTCAATCAGACAAAAATAATTATAAAAAAAAAGAGGAACAAAACCTCTGAGAAATATGGAATTATGTAAAGAGACCAAATCTGTGACTCATTGGTGTTCCCGAAAGACAGAAAGAGAAAGCAAGCAACTTGGAAAACATATTTGAGGCTATCATTCAAGAAAATTGGCCAACTTCACTAGAGAGGCCAACGTGCAAATTCAGGAAATGCAGAGAACTTCTGCAAGATACTGTACACATAGGCATCAGATTCTCCAAGATCAAGATAAAAGAAAAATGTTAAAGACAGCTAGAGAGAAGGGACAAGTCGCTTACAAAGGTAACTGTCCCAGGCTAACAACAGAAGTTTCACGAGAAACTCTACAAGCCAGAAGAGATTAGGGGCCTATATTTAGCATCCTTAAAGAAAATAAATTCCAACCCAAAATTTCACATCCACCCAAACTAAGCTTCGTAAGTGAAGAAGAAATAGGATCCTTTTAAGACAAGCAACTGCTAAGGGAATTTGTTACCACCAGACCTGCCTTACAAGAGGTCCTTAAGGAGGTGCTAAAAATGAAAAGGAAAGATCATTATCTACCACCACAAAAACACACTTAACCCTTTTCTTATTTATAAAAAAAGGTGCCAGCTCACTGCCAGCTCTCATTTAATTTTACATAAACACATTCTTTGAGGCTGAAGCAAATATAACTAATTTTCAATGTGAAAATAAAATACAAAAACTGTTCTTAGATAAACATAACTATATCAGAATTGTCTTAATCATCAGAATCATCTATTTTGGAAAAATCAAATTCATCAACTAAATCTTCAGCCAATAACTGTTCAAAAATGATGTTAACACATGTAGGAATGCTACGTTTTCTAGGATTTGACATTTTCAGTGATTGAGAATTACTATATTTTGTAAATGAAAATGCTACTAAAAACAGAAGGCTATAAATAAAATGTCTTTTGTTTCCAAAGTTGATATATTAGAGTGATAAAATAATAATAATAAAAGCAAGATATTTTGTGGCAAAATTATCTCTGGGTAAACACTGCAGCCATAAGTGCTGCCAGCAAGTATTCTCAGGGAAAATGTGAAAAGGGTTGAGTACATAGACCATTAACATTACAATGCAACTACACAATCAAGCTGACATTAATAACCAGCTAACAGCACAATGATAGGATCAAAGCCATACATATCAATATTAACCTTGAATGTAAATAGCCTAATTGCCCCCAATTCAAGGGCACAGAGTGTCAAGATGAAAGAAGCAAGACCCAACAGTATGCTATCCTCAAAAGACCCATCTCACATGCAAAGACACCCATAGGCTCAAAATAAAGGGATTAAAAAATCTATCAAGCAAATGGAAAGCTGAAAGTAGCATGTCTTAATGTCTGTCTAATTTCAGACATTACAGTGTTTAAACCAATAGTAATCAAAAAAGACAAGGCCATTACAGAATGGTAAAGTGTTTAATTCAACAAGAAGACTTAACTATCCTAAATATATATGAACCCAACACAGGAGCACCCAGATTCATAAAGCAAGTTCTTAGAGACCTACAAAGAGACAGATAACCACACAATAACAGTGGGAAAGTTCAACACCTTACTAATAGTATTAGATAGACCATTGAGTCAGAAAGCTGACAGATATTTGGAACCTGAATTCAACATTTGACCAAATGAACCTAACAGACATCTACAGAACTCTTCACCCAAAACCAGTAGAATATGTGTTCTTCTCATTTGTGCATGACATATACTCTAAAATTAACTACATAGTTATAAAACTATTCTCAGCAAATTTTTAAAAAGAAAATCATATTAAAAACATTCAGATCATAGCACAATGAACATATACATTAATACTAAGAAAATTGCTCAAAACTACAAAATTACATGGAAATTAAACAACTTGCTCCTGAAAGACTTTTGGTTAAATAATAAAATTAATGCAGAAATCAAGAAATTCTTTGAAACTAATAAGAATAAACATACAACATACCAGAATCTCTGGGACACATCCAAAGCAGTGTTAAGAGGCAAATGTATAGTACTAAATGCTCACATCAAAAATTAGAAAGACTTCAAATTAACAACATAACATCACACCTAGAGGAACTTGAAACACAAGAGCAAGCAAACCCAAAAGCCAGCAGAACAAAGGGAATCATCTAAATCCAAGTTGAACTGAAGGAAATTGAGGTGCAAGAAATCATACAAAAGATCAATGAATCCAGGGATTGCTACTTTGAAGGAATAAATAAGATAGACATACCACTAGCTAGACTAACAAAGAAAAATAAGAATATCCAAATAAAAATCAGAAATGATGACAGGGGCATTACCACTGACCACAGAGAAATGTAAAAAGCACTCAGAGATCATTATAAACAACTCTATACACAAAAACTGGAAAACATAGAGGAAATAGACAAATCCCTGGAAACATACAACCTCCAAAGATTAAAGCAGGAAGAAATTGAATCTCTGAAGGGACCAATGATGAATTCCAAAATTGAATTATTAAAAAAAAGTCTGCCAATCAGAAAAAGTCCAGGAACTGATGACTTCACAGTCAAATTATAGCAGGTGTATAAAGAAAACCTGGTATCATTCCTACTGAAACTATTCCAAAAAATTGATGAGAAAGAATTTCTCCCTAACTCATTCTATGAGTTCAGCATCATCCTGATACCAAAACCTGGCAAAGACAAAACAAATAAAGAAAACTTCAGGCCAATATCTTTGATTAACATAGATGCAAAAATTATCAACAAAATACTATTAAACAAAATCTATCAGCATATTAAAATGAACCCACAGGATCAAGTAGTCTTTATCCCTTGGAAGCAAGGTTAATTCAACATATTTAAATCAATAAACGTTATTCATCACATAAATATAACTAAATAAAACCACATATGATCATCTCAATAGACACAGAAAGGCTTTCAATAAAATTCAACATCCCTTCATGTGAAAAACTCTCAACAGACAGGGCATCAAAGGAACATGGCTCATAACAATAAAAGCCATCTATGTCAAGCACACAGCACACATCCTACTGAATGGACAAAATCTGGAAGCATTCTCCCTGAGAACCAGAACAAAATAAGGATGCCCTCTCTCACCACTCCTATACAACGTAGTACTTGAATTTCTAGCCAGAGCAATTGGGTAAGAAAAAGAAATAAAACTCATCCAAATAGGAAGAGAGGAAGTCAAATTATCTCTGCTTGTAGATTACATGATTCGATAGTAGAAAAACCCATTATCTCTTCTCAAAAGTTCCTAGATCTAAAAAAACAACCAGCCAAGTTTTGGGATACAAAATCAATGTAAAAAATAGTAGCATTTCTATAAAACAATGTCAAAGCAGATAGTCAAGTCACGAACATAATCCCTCTCACAGTAGCCACAAAATAAATAGAATACCTAGGAATACAGCTAACCAGAGAGGTGAATATTCTCTAAAATGGGAATTACAAAACACTGCTCAAATAACTCAGATATGACACAAACAAATGGAAAAAAATTCATGCTCAGGAATAAAAATAATCAATATTGTTAAAATGGCCATACTGCTCAAAGCACTTTACAGATTCAATGCTATTCCTATCAAACTACCAATGACATGCTTCACACAATTATAAACTTTAAAAAAATTTGTGTGGAACAAAAAAGAGCCTGAATAGCTAAAACAATCCTAGACAAAGAAAACAAATCTAGAGGCATCACACTACCCAACTTCAAACTATACTACAAGGCTAAACTAACTTAAGCAGTATGGTACTGATATTAAAAAAAAAACAAACAGATATGTAGACCAATAGAACAGAATAGAGAGCCCAGAAATACAGCTACACACAACCATCTGATCTCTGATCTTTGACAAAGTCAACGAAAAGAAGAAATGAAGAAAGGATTCCATATTTAGTAAATGGTGCTGGGATAACTGTATATCCATATGCAGTAAATTGAAACTAGACCCTTTCCTTATACCATTTGCAACAATCAACTAAAGATGGATGAAAGACTTAAATGTAAAACCAAAAACTATAAAAATCTTAAAAGAAAACCTAGGAAATACCATTCTGGACATAGGCCCTGACAAAGATTTTATGGTGAAGACTCCAAAAGTGAGTGTAACAAAATCAAAAATTGACAAATGGGACCTAATTAAACTAAATACCTGCACAGCAAAAGACCCTATCAATAGAGTAAACAGACAACCTACAGAATGAGAGAAAATGTTTGCAAACTATGCATCACACAAAGGTCTAATATCCAGAATCTATAAAGAAATTAAATAAATAAGCAAAAAACAACTCAGTAAGTGGGTACAATAAATGAACAGACATTTTTCAAAAGAAGACATACACGTGGCAAACAGGTATATTTTTAAATGTTCAGCATCACTAATCACTAGAGAAATGCATTTCAAAACCGCAATGAGATACCACTCCACATCAATCAGAAAGACTATCAATAAAAAATGAAAATAAAAATATATTGGTGAGGTTGCAGAGAAAGGAAACTCTAATAGGCAGCTTTTGGCAGTGTAAGTTAAATCAACCACTGTGGAAAGCTGTCTGGAGATTTCTTAAAAAACCTTAAACAGAATTACCATTCAACCCAGCTATCCCATTATTAGGTAAATACCCAAAGGAATATAAATTGATCTATTATAAGTACACATGCATGCCTATGTTCATCATATCACTATTCACAATAGCAAAAATATGGACTCGACCTAAATGCCCATAAATATTAGACTGGCAAACAAGGGATAGTATATATACACCATGGAATAGTACACAGTACACAGCCATAAAAAATAGTAACTGTGTTCTTTGCAGCAACATGGATGAAGCTGTAGGTCAGTTTTCTTTTTTTCTTTTTTTTTTCTTTTGAGACAGAGTCTCTCTCTGTCACCCAGACTGGAGTGCAGTGGCGTGATATCAGCTCACTGCAAGCTCCACCTCCTGGGTTCATGCCATTCTCCTGCCTCAGCCTCCCGAGTAGCTGGGACTACAGGCGCCCACCACCACGCCCAGCTAATTTTTTTTTGTATTTTTAGTAGAGACAGGGTTTCACCGTGTTAGCCAGGATGATCTCAATCTCCTGACCTCGTGATCCACCCGCCTCGGCCTCCCGAAGTGCTGGGGTTACAAACATGAGCCACCGTGCCCGGCCAGCTGTAGGTCATTTTTCTAAGCAAACTGATGTAGAAACAAAAAACCAAATACCTCATGTTCTCTCTTATGAGTGGGATCTAAACATTGATTACACATGTTCAAATATTTCGATCCTTGTAAGTGGGATCTAAACATTGAGGGTGTAGAGTAGTGGGAGGGAGAGCATCAAAATACTACCTACCAGTTACTATGCTTATTACCAGGGTGATGTAATAATCTGTACACCATGCCTCTGTGATACATAATTTACCTATGTAACAAACCTGGACATGTATCCTTGAACTGAAAATAAACCCTAAAAATAATAATAAATGATAAAAATAATATTGAAACAAATATTTATCTGTATACAGTAGTCATCAGATAAATAATATGAAAATTTCAAGTTAAAAAAACATTTTAAAGGAAAACTATATAAATTTAGATTTCCACCAAGACTTATCAGAATGTATATTTATCAATCTACTTCCTTTTTGTTTACCATCCATCAAGTATTTCATTTTTTTATTTCAATTTTTTATTTTTGTACTTCAATAGGTTTTTGGGGAACAGATGGTGTTTGGTTACATGAACAAGTTCTTTAGTGGTAATTTCTCAGATTTTGGTGCACCCATCACTCGAGCATTGTGCATTGTACCCTATGTGTAGTCTTTGATCCCTCACCACCCTCCACCTTTTCCTCCAAGTTCTGAAAGTCCAATGTATTATTCTTAAGCCTTTGTATCCTCATAGCTTAGCTCACACATATGAGTAAGAACAAAAGTTGTTTGGTTTTCCATTTCTGAGTTATTTCACTTAGAATAACAGTCTCCAATTTAATCCAAGTTCTTTTTATGACTAACTAGTATTCCATTATATATATAGATTATATATATGCCATCCCTGCATCCCTGGTATGAAACAAACTTGATCATGGTGTATTATCTTTTTGATATATAATCTATACTATATATACACACACACACATACACACACACACACACACATACACATATATACATACCACGTTTTCTTTATCCACTCATCAATTGATGGGCATTTGGGTTGGTTCCATATTTTGCAATTGCAAATTGTGCTGCTGTAAACATGCATGTGCAAGTGTCTCTTTTGCATAATGAGTTCCATTTTTCTGGGTAGATACCTAGTAATGAGAGTGCTGGATCAAACGGTAGATCTACTTTTAGTTCTTTTAGTTCTTTAAGGAATCTCCACACTGATTTCCATAGTGGTTTTACTAGTTTACATTCCCACAAACAGTGTAAAAGTGTTCCCTTTTCACCACATCCACGACAACATCTATTTTTTTATTATTTATTTTATTATGGCAATTCTTCCAGGAGTGAGGTAGCATCACATTGTGGTTTTGATTTGCATTGCCCTGATAACGAGTGATGTTGAGCATTTTTCCGTATGCTTGTTGGCCGTTTGTATATCTTCTTTTTGAAATTGTTCATTCATGTCTTTAGCCCACTTTTTGATGGGATCATTTATTTTTTCTTGCTGATTTGTTTAAGTTCATTGTAGATTCTGGATATTAGCCCTTTGTTGAATGTGTAGATTGTGAAGATTTTTCTCACACTTTGTGGGTTGTCTGTTACCCCTGCTGATTATTTCTTTTGCTGTGCAGGAGCTTTTTAGTCACATCTATTTATCTTTGTATTTGTTTCACTTGCTTTTGGGTTCTTGGTCATGAAGTCTTTGCCTAAGCCAATGTCTAGAAGGGTTTTTCTGATGTTATCTTCTAAAATCTTTATGATTTCACATTTTAGGTTTAAGTCCTTGATTCAGCTTGAGTTGATTTTTGTATAAGGTGAGAGATGAGGATCCAGTTTCATTGTTCTACATGTGGCTTACCAATTATCCCAGGACCATTTGTTGAATAGGGTGTCCTTTCCCCACTTTATGTTTTGGTTTGTTTCGTCAAAGATCAGTTGGCTGTAAGTATTTGGCTTTATTTCTATTATTTACTATTGGTCTATATGCATATTTTTATACCAGTACCATGCTGTTTTGGTGACTATGGCCTTATAGTATAGTTTGAAGTCAGATAATGTGATGCCTCCAGATTTGTTCTTTTTGCTTAGTCTTGCTTTGACTATGCAGGCTCTTTTTTGATTCCATATTAATTTTAGGATTGCTTTTTCTAGTTCTGTGAAGAATGATGGTGGTATTTTGATGGGGATTGCATTGGATTTGTAGATTGCTTTTGGCAGTATGATCATTTTCACAATATTGATTCTATCCATCCATGAGTATGGGAACATGTTTCCATTTGTTTGTGTCATCTATGATTTCTTTCAGCATTGTTTTGTAGTTTTTCTTATAGAGTTATTTCACATCCTTGGTTAGGTATATTTCTAAGTATTTTATTTTTATGTGTGGCTATTGTGAAAGCAGTTGATTCGTTGATATGATTCTGAGCTTGATCATTGTTGGTGTATAACAGAGCTACTGATTTGTGTAAATTAACTTTGTATCCTGAAACCTTGCTGAATTTATTTACTAGTTTTAGGAGCTTTGAGGATGAGTTGTTAAGGTTTTCTAGATATACGATTATATCATCAGCAAACAGCAATCATTTGACTTCCTCTTTACCAGTTTGGATGCCTGCCCTTCATTTATTTGTCTTGTCTAATTGCTCTGGCAATGTCTTCCAGTACTATGTTGAATAGAAGTGGTGAAAGTGGGCATCCTTGTCTTTTTCCAGTTCTCAGAGCAAATGCTTTCAACTTTTCCCTGTTCAGTATGTTGGCTGTGGGTTTGTCATAGATGACTTTTATTACTTTAAGTTAGGTCCCTTCTATGCCAATTTTGCTGAGGGTTTTAACATAAAAGGATGCTGAATTTTGTCACATACTCTTTCCACATCTATTGAGATGATGATGTGATTTTTGCTTTTAATTCTGTTTATGTGATGTATAACATTTATTGACTTACATATGTTAAGCCATCTCTGCATCCCTGGTATGAAACAAACTTGATCATGGCATATTATCTTTTTGATATGCTATTGGATTTGGTTTGCTAGTATTTTGTTGAGGATTTTTGCATCTATATTCATGAAGGATATTGGTCTGTAGCTTTCTATTTCGTTATACCCTTCCCTGGTTTTGGTACTAGGATGATACTGGCTTCATAGAATGATTTAGAGACAATTCCCTCTTTCTCTGTCTTTTGGAATAGTGTCAATAGTATTAGTACCAATAATTCTTTGAATGTCTGATATAATTTAGCTGTGAGTCCATCTGTTCCTGGACTTTTTTGTTGGCAATTTTTTTATTACCATGTCAATCTTGCTTCTTGTTATTGGTCTGTTCAGAGATTCTATATCATCCTGGTTTAATCTAGGAGGGTTGCATATTTCTAGGAATTTATCCATCTTCTCTAGGGTATTTCTGTGGTATCAGTTGTAATATCTCCTGTTTTGTTTCTAATTGATCTTATTTGAATCTTCTCTCTTCTTTTATTGGCTATTCTTGCTAATGGTCTATCAATTTTATTTATCCTTTTAAATAATCAGCTTTTTGTTTTATTTACCTTTTGTATTTTTTTCTTTCAATTTTATTTAGTTCTGCTCTGATCTTCATCCTTTCTTTTTGTCTGTTGGGTTTGGGTTTGGATTGTTCTTGTTTCTCCATTTCTGTGAGGTGTGATGTTAGATTATCTATTTGTGATCTTTCAAACTTTTTGATGTAGGCAGTTAAAGATATGAACTTTCCTCTTAGTACCACTTTTGCTGTATTCCAGAGGTTTTGATAGGTTGTGTCACTATTATCATTCGGATTAAAGAATTTTTTGTATTCCAACTTAATTTCATTGTTGACCCAGTAATCATTCAGGAGCACGTTATTTATGTTTTATTTATTTGCCTGGTTTTGAGAGTTCCTGTTGGAGTTGATTTCCAATTTTATTCCACTGTCGTCTGAGAGAGTACTTGATATAATTTTGATTTTCTTAAATTTACTGAGTCTTTTTTTTTGCCTATGATATGGTCTGTCTTGGAAAATGTTCCATGTGCTGATAATAGAATGTATATTCTGCAGTTGTTGGGTAGAGTGTTCTGTAAAGATCTGTTAAGCCCATTTGTTGTAGAGTTAGGTTTAACTCCATTGTTTCCTTGTTGACTTTCTGTCTTGATAACCTCTCTAGTGCTGTCAGTGGAGTATTAAAATCTCCCACTACTATTGTCTATCTCAATTCTTAGGTCTAGTAGTAATTGTTTTATAACTTTGGGAGTTCCAATGTTCAGTGCATATATATCTAGAATTGTGATATTTTCCTATTGGGACGGTTCCTTTTATCATTATATAATGTCCCTCTTTGTCTTTTTTAACTGCTGTTGCTTTAAAGTTGGTTTTGTCTGATATAAGAATAGCTACCCCTGCTCACTTTTGAAGTCCATTTGCGTGGAAAATCTTTTTTCACCCCTTTACCTTAAGTTTATGTGAGTCTTTATGTGTTAGGTGAGTCTCCTGAAGACAAGAGAAACTTGCTTGGTGAATTTTTATTCATCTGACATTCTGTATCTTTTAAGTGGAGCATTTAGGCAATTTACACTCAATGTTAGTATTGAGATGTGAGATACTATTACATTCATCATGCTTTTTTATTGCCTGAATACCTCGTTGTTGTTGTTATTGTTGTTTTTAATTTTGTTATTGTTATATAGGTCCTGTGAGATTTATGCTTTAAGGAGGTTCTATTTTGGTGTAATTCTAGGATTTGTTTCAAGATTTAGAGCTCCTTTAGCAGTTCTTATAGTGCTGGATTGGTAGTGGCAAATTATCTCAGCATTTGTTTGTCTGGAAAAGACTATATTTTCTTCATTTGTGAAGCTCAGTTTCACTGGATACAAAATTCTTGGTTGATAATTGTTTTGTTTAAGGGGGCCAAAAATAGGATGCTAATCCCTTCGAGGTTGTAGGATTTCTGCTAAGAAATCTACAGAATTCCTGTGGTAGTTCTTGGAGCAAAAGTTTATGATACGAGTCTCCACACACTGCTCTGTCCAAATGGGAGCTGCAAGCTAGTCCTGCCTCCTGTCTGCCCTCTTAATACCATCCTCAATATACTTCCTAACACTAGCTGCAATTAATATTTCTATTGTTTTACCACATTAACATGGCATTTTATCTGTTTTCATTTGCATTTTTTTCAAATACAAGTAAAATAGAAAATTTCTCACTACTCTGTCGGTGTTCCCAAGACCACCCTGTGTGGTTCTTATTACTGTGTCAGGAGGCATTAAGATGTGTTAGAAGGACTCGTGGAACTCAGAAAAGTTTTTAGACTCTCGATTATGGTTTATTACAACAAAAGAATACAGATTGAAATCAGCAAATTTAAAAGGTGTATAGGGCAGAGTCCCAAGCTTCAGTTGTCTTATAGGTTTTCCTACATAGGTTACCTGATGCTTTTACCTCACAATTCTTAAGATTCTTTCCTTTGTCATGACTTTAGATAACCTGATGACTATTTGATTAGGTGATGGTCTTTTTGCAATGAATTCTCCTGGTGTTCTTTGAGCTTCTTGTATTTGGATGTGTAGATCTCTGGCAAGGCTGGGAAAGTTTTCCCCAACTATTCCCGCAGATATGTTTTTCAAACTTTTAGATTTCTCTTTTTCCTTGGGAATACCAATTCTTCTTAGGCTTGGACATTTAACATAGTCCAAAACCTCTTGGAGTCTTTGTTCATTTTTTAAAATTATATTTTCTTTGTCTTTTATGGATTGGATTAATTTGAAGGCCTTGCCTTTGAGCTCTGAAGTTCTTTCTTCTGCTTGTTTGCTGAGACTTTCCAATGCATTTTACATTTCTTTGAGTGTGTCCTTCATTTCAAGAAGGTGTGGTTGTTTTTTATTTATGCTATTTCACTGAAAAATTTTCCTTTCATATCCTGTATCATGTTTTTGATTTATTTAAGTTAAACTTTACCTTTCTCTGGTGCCTCCTGGTTAGCTTAATAATCAACTTCTCAATTCTTTTTCTGGGAATTTGGAGATTTCATCTCAGTTTGGATCCACTTCTGGTGAGCTAGTATGATCTTTTGGGGGTGTTAAAGAACCTTGTTTTGTCATATTACAAGAATTGTCTTTCTGGTTTCTTCTCATTTGGATAGAATATGTCAGAGGGAAGATCTGGAATTCAACGGCTGCTATTCAGATTCTTTTGTCTCGTGGGGTGATCCCTTGATGTGGTGTTCTTCCCCCTCCCCTAGGAATGGGGCTTTCTGAGTGCCAAACTGTATTGATTGTTTTTGCTCTTCTGTGTCTAGCCACCTAGAAGAGCTACTGGGCCCTGGGTTGGTACTGGGGAGTGTCTGCAAGGAGTCCTGTGATGTAATCCATCTTCAGGTCTTGCAGCCACGGATACCAGCATTGCTCTGGTGGTAGTAGCAGGGAGTGAAGTGAAGTCTGTGAGGTAGCAGGGAGTGAAGCGGAGTCTGTGGAGTTGTGTTTTTGTTTAGCGTCTTGGTTTTGTGTTCATTGGCCTCCAGCCAGGGGGTGGCACTTTCAAGAGCACATCAGCTGTGGTCCTACAGGGAGGATGCAAACTTGCCCTAAGGACACCTGGTTAACTGTTCAATTTTCTCAGGCAGTGGGCAGGGCCACAGAGCTCCAAAGAGATTATGACCTTTCTCTTCCACTACCATGGCTGGTAGAGAAAGACCACCAGGTGGGGGCAGGGATAGGTGTGTCCGAGCTCAGCCTCTCCTTGGTCAGGGCTTGCTGTGGTTGCTTTGGCGGATGGGGTGTGGTTCCCAGTCCAGTGGAATTATATTGCCAAGGGGATTATAGCTGCCTCTGCTGAGTCATACAAGTCACCAGGGAACTGAGGGAGATCTTGCAGTCACAGGCTTCACCCTGCTCCCACTCAACTCACAGTCCTAAAGGCCAGTCTCACTCTCACCATGCCCCACAAACAGCAATGAGTCTATTTCCAGGCAGCCGGTGACCAGGGCTGAGAACTTGCCCCAGACCGTGAGTCTCCCCATTGAGAAAGCAAGCAGACTCATAGTATTATGGCCTCTCAGGGAGCTTGTAGTGGTGATCCAGTTCCTTCAAAGGGTCTGTGAATTCCCTCGGCTTTCCTCTTATCTTCCTGTCGTGGTTCTTGGAGCAAAAGTTTATGATACGAGTCTCCACACACTGCTCTGTCCAAGTGGGAGCTGCAAGCTAGTCCTGCCTCCTGTCTGCCATCTCAATTCCATCCTCAATATACTTCCTAACACTGACTACAATTAATATTTCTATTGTTTTACCACAATAACATGGCATTTCATCTGTTTTCATTTGCATTTTTTCAAATACAAGTAAAATAGAAAATTTCTCACTACTCTGTCAGGTGTTCCCAAGACCACCCTGTGTGACTCTTATTACTGTGTCAGGAGTCATTAAGTTGTGTTAGAAGGACTCAGAACTCAGAAAAGTTTTTAGATTCTCAATTACGGTTTATCACAACAAAAGAATACACATTGAAATCAGCAAAGTTAAAAGATGTATAGGGCAGAGTCCAGGAGATACTAGGCCCAAGCTTCAGTTATCTTCTTCTAGTAAAGTTGTGTGAACAGCATTTAATTCTTTTACCAATGATGTGTGTCAATACATATGGAATATTTCCTAACAGAGAAGCTCACTTGAGCTTCATTCTCCAGGGTTTTTTTGTTTTGTTTTTTTTTTTTTTTGCAAACTGCCCACATAGGCATAGAGCAATCACATGGTTGGCTTTATTCTGTCTCCAACCCCTCCAGAAGTCAAACTGATGCATTATGACCCAAATACTCTCTCAAGTTTCATTGTTAGCATAAGTTATCTGCTATGGCCAAAGGAACTTAGACATATGAATACAGTCTTACCTGGAAGAATAGTCCAAAGACGTAGAGATTTTCTCCCAGGAGCCAATGAGGAGAGAACTTTTTTTCGAAATGTGTGGGATTTGAATATCCCAGACCTGTTGAGTTAACTCTTTCCTGAACAAGCCACCTCCCTGGTCCTGGACCTGACCAGATGACAAAACTTGATTTAGCTTTATCTTAAAATTGAAACATTTTTCTATAATTTATTAAAATACTCCTTAACCTAGTATTTTTTGCTGTATCTATCAACCAAAAAAAAAACACTGAAAATATATAAACATAAAAAGTTAAGTGATTCAAACTGATAAAGGTTATAGTTGGAAAGTAATTGAACCTATAAATCTTATGCTTTTCCCTGCCTAAAAGCTGCCTATATTAATGAGCTTTGGGAATTTTTTATGCTTGAAAAAATGCCCCTCCAGTTGGCATGAATCTACGTTTTGATCTCCCCAACAAAGACGTGTGCCAGAGACCTCAGAACGCAAGCTGTGGACCAAAGCAGCTGTGGGCACTGGCAGCTAATGCAGTGGGAAGATTATGGAAATTCTGATCCAACAGGGTTCTTGCTCTGCCCAGCATGCACCTGGGGTATCCTAAACCCAGAGGAAATAGCAGTGCCAAGACCCATTAAGATCATGCAGCAGCTGGGGAATCAGGCCATCAGGCCAGTGACTTCCACTGGGGACCCCAGGCTGACCAGGTTTAGATGGTTATATAGGCCAGAGTCTGTGCAAGAGCACTCTACTAAGGGGAAAAGATGAGAATGAATTCTAGCCTGAATCCCACTTGCCAAATCTTAAGTTCTGGCATATGGTGTGCTATCTGTTTGGAGGAACGTTCATCTTTTTCTGATATTCACAAAGTTACTATGTGCTAATGATGGCACATCCCAGTAAATGTGGCATCTTCTTAGTCTTCTTCAAGTTAACTAGGAGAGTAAGATCATCTCCCTCTTCTTCATAGCATCATTGTTGAAGACACCAGAGGTTGAAACCAAACTACACGTGTGAACTAGAAAGTAAACTAATGCTAAATTGATGCTAAAAGCAGTAGCAGAATTTTGGTATTTGCCCTCAGTGAAATCATCATTGCACGCAATACTTTTGAATATCTGCTAATGTCCTAATGCCCATGAGCACATTAAGAAAGGGCCAAAAAATTATCAGGATTCTGAGGAAATGTCACATTTACTGCCAAATTAACAAAGGTCTTAGTGTAAACATAAAGAAGTCAGTTTGTGTTGCAAAAGGTTTGGAATCTAATCCAATATTCATGAATTTATTGGTGGAGTTCTGTCAATGTGGGATGAAATATTAACAATGTTCAAAAGTAGCAAATCATTTTGTGTATCCCTTTTGTTGTCTTTTAAAGTGGTCATTATGTTGATATTAGATACTAATTTCTATAGATATGTAAAACTTTCTGATCATACTTATCCTGCCCCATGCACAATAATTATTTTTCCTTTTAGCAGCTTATTTCCACAAGGACTAAGTCTTGCATTTCATTTTGTTTTCTTCAAAGACAATTAAACTACTTCGAAACTCATGCTAGCAGGAATATTTTTGAAGCCCAATTATATTATAGTTATTTTAATTTTGGTGATCTTATGACATAAATTTATGATTTTGTGATATAGCATAAAACATTTTCTGCATTATTTTACATTTTGAATGATTTCAATCGCATCACAGGTTTTGTTAAACTTTAAAATTAAATTTACCTATATTCTCATTTAATAATTATCAAGAAAAATTGTACGGTTCTGTAAGTAACTTATAACCTACTTAAAATATTTGAAGTGATTTACAAGTTACAGCAAATGCCAAGTAGAGTAATTATGGTGAAAATATAGAAAAAAATACTACAATGTGCCAAGGACTGTGCTGAGTGTTTTCCATTTTCTGTATTCTTTAATTCTCATAATAATATTGTGCTTTGAACATTATTATCTCCATTTTACAGAGTGGAAACTAGGGCTCAAGGAATTTAAACGATGCATTCAGGATCATGTGACCAGAATGTGCTGGAAACAAGGCCCACATGCAGTTCTCTAACTCTAATGCCTACTCCCTGAGCCACTGCATTATGCTGCCTCAGAAACCATCGTAAAACAGCATTTTTAAATCCCTTTACCCATAACATAGCATTTGTATATTCTTTTACTATGATTTGAAATTTTAAACTACAATTAGTTTCCTGATTAATGTAAAATAAAAATTAGCATTTCTCAAATCATAGTCCATAGGCCACCTACAACAAAATTGTCTAAAATCATAGTCCATAAGTCACCCACAACAAAATTATCTAAAATTATCAAAAGTCGAGCGACTAGGGTTCTACTGCAGAGGTACTAAATATATTTCTCCATTTCTTGTGGGAGAGTGGAGTTAGGGAGAAAGAGTGTGGAGAGTAGGTATGTGACTTTTTAAAAAGCTTCTCCAGATGACTTTTTTAGATGCCAAATTCTGAGAAACACTGTTTGTTTGTAAATGATAGTCTAACAGAGAACCCTGAAGAAATGCCACTGCCATGTATCTTTTCAATAAAATTCAGCAAGGACTGCATGCAACAACAGTACTTCTAATTTTGTCAGGTTCTATATTTCTATGTTGATATATTCCAATCCCATATCATCACAAATTGTTAAAGGTTATCAACATTGTGACTTTGATTTTACTGTGTGCTATTTATTTCTTGCTAGTATGAGAGTAATATCTAATCTTTTTACACTATTTCTCTTTTCTCTTAAAATGTTTTGTGAATAAATAGTTCCACTGAAATTCTTCAAGTTTATTTATGCTATCTCTGAAAATATTCACATTTATTTCTTATCTCTTTTCCTCAGAATATTAGTCATGAATAATTCTGCATTTTAATTTTTTCATTTAGCCACTGACTTAATCTAAAATGGATTTTATATCACATAGCCTTAAGAATCATCATTATTATTGAGATTATAGGCCTCCTTAAAAAGAATTAAGTGAACACTAGTAAGCCATAATAATATTTCATTATTGTTAGCAGAGTATTAGTATAAATAACTGAATATCACAGGGTAAAGTAATAGGTAATATTTTTAGCTGTATGTTTTCAAACACACACACATACATACACATATTTACACAGAAAGTCAAAGTCAAAATATTGGTTACAGAATCCTGATCAGATTTGTGTTGCATCACTGACTATGCAGAAACAGCCACTCAGCATCCAGCTTCACAACTTTCCCTACAGAAAAGCAAGCATCATGCCCTACTTGCTATTTTAATACCCACGGGGAAACACAATCTAATCAGGCTTAGGCAGCTTTGGCCAAGTTATCCAAAATGAGGGCATAACATTAATTCATAATTCAGTGAAGGTGTATCTGTAGGGGGCAGACATAACACAATCCATTACTTTGCTTTGTGATGATCCAGTTTGATATAATGCTAGAATTTGGATCTAAGAAAATTAAAAAGCAGTGAGTCCTTCTCCCTCGTTTCTCAAATATCAGATGCTTTAGGTAAACTGTTGATAAATTCCAGCTTACCTCAAATTCTGATTTAATTTTTCGAGTCTTTATGCTGTAGTATTTATATTTTCGAAACAATGTGCATAGATATTAAATAATAGTGTAGACTATAGGTATATTGAGATAACTTAGTAGTCAGCCTGTTTGAGACTAAGCATGCTCAGAAAGTTGTATCTGAAGGTTTATTAAACCTGGTGAGGTTATTGATAATGTAATAATAGAACCACAAACATAAATTCAAAAAGGTTAGCATTTCTGAATCTTTATACTTGATTTCATAGCTTGATACATCGCTGTACATTTACTCTGATCTGTGTCCAAGAATACCTTCAGTGTTCAAAGAAATATTATTATTTTCCACTGTTAAATTATTTAACAGTTCAAAGAAATATTATAATTTTCCACATGTCATTAGCCCATAGAACATTTCTTCCTGGAGAAAGCCTCCAAGGAGGAGAGAAACAACCTGAGTAATATGAAGAGGTTCCAAAATAAGAGCTTAGCAAACTGGAGTTCAAAGACTTTACTGTGGCTTCTCCTATAACACAGAGTTCAAAGTAGCCATACCTGGGACTCAGGAACATAATTTTTTGACTATGTTCCTCCTCCTTGAATCTTTCTTCCTCTAGTATAGCATGGCTACATCCTCTCTCCTATGTGACGATTTTCTCCTGTCTTTCAAATCTAGTACTGGGATGTCTTTGATCATCTCAAGTGTGATGTAGTATCACTTACCCTTTCTGTGCTGCAGTCTGTTTATTGGGTTTACTCTTCTTAGTATCTCTTGTCTTGTCCTCCAAATTCCATCTTTTTTGTCTGAAACAAATCTCACATTAAGCTCTTTGTTCAAGGCAACTGGCAGATTTTACAAAACCTGAAGTTCATGCAATTAGCAAAGAAACAGTAGACTATGCAGGGTAAATGTGGACTACTACTCCTAATATAAGAAGGTCTAAGAACCCTGTAGGTCATTATCAAACTGCCAGGTTTCAACAAAATAATCAATAATTGCCAAATAAAAACACATTGAACCAAAAATGCGAGTGAGAGGGAAGCAGATTAGAGATCCCTGTCTTTAAAGTAATAAACATTAGAGAGAATTAACTGATTGATGAACTATTAACATCTTTCATTCATTTAAATACTGTTAAGTAAGAACTTGGTGAAGGGTGACAGAGAAAAAATGTGGGTCTTGTAGATTGGTTAATTTGCTTGTTTAAAACTTCAGCGTATCCAAGAAAATCAGTTTGACTTTAACAAAGGTGAAAAAGTATCAGAAGATACTCTTCAGCTAAACAGTAGCAATTAAGAAACTTTCTTCACAGGAAGTGAAACAAAAAAGAATCATTAGTTTTAGATATAGTGTTTCTATTTTTATGAGATTAATGGATACCCAGTTTATTTTCTTGTCTTAAAATTTCTTTTGAAAATGAGCTAAAAATCAACCCAATTATTTTTGACGGTCCTGATATAAGAACAAATACACAGAGTTGTTTGATCTTGGTTTCTAGGGAGCTGGGATCAAAATCGTACCCACCCCTTAGCAAACCATATTCTTTCTTGGACAAATCAATAAACTTATGTCATTGTTTGTGAAAAAGGAATGAAGATAATATGTTTTAATTTAATGGGAAGGGATATAGCATAATATCTGTATATAATTGGAAGCTCAGTAAATAGCTTTTGAAACTGGTCATATAATCTGTTGAGGCATTCCCTTCAAGTCCTAGCTTGGTTTTACATGGAATAAAACAAAAATATTTCTTTTATTTTAAATAATCTTGCCATATTATTCTTCACCTTGAGTAAGCATCTAAAGAGATTGAAGAACCACCGCAGATGATGTTTGACAATAAGTTACATTATGGATCATGCTATGGTTACAGTAGGATAATTTTTAATTTACAGAGATTATATATACAGTAATGTCTTTGTTTCATTAAATAATTCTGATAAAGCTGCATAGATCTAAATATGAGGGTATTATCTCAGTTGTGATTGTCAATAGTTTTATTATTACCTCTTTCTTTTCTCCACAAATTAGAAAAACCTCAAGAATAGTGCACAAAAGTGCAGATGCCACACTGTGTTTAAACCTTGGCCCTGCTGCATAATTGCTGTGGGACTTTTTGCCTTCACCAACTTCTCTGTGTTTTCACAGATAATGATAGTATATTCCTCAAAAGACTGATGAAATGATTTAACTTTACTAATGATTAACACATATTCAAAAACATTCCTGGCCTGGCATATTAGCACAGAAATATTAGATATATAAATTGAGCATTATTACATTTCACAGTCAATATTTGTTTCAGTTAACCATTTTAAAAAATATCTTCAAACTCTACCTTCTTTCACCTCTGATCTTCGATTTGGGATAATTTCCCTTAAAGACTTTCAAATCTTTAAATAGAATATATTACGGGTAAACTCTCTGGGTTTATTTTTTTTGGCTAAAAACTAACTTTACCTTCCTTTATAATATGCAATGCTTCTGGATGCAGAACTAAAGTTTATATTTTCTGACAACATAAATGATATTATCCTAAGGTCTCAGGGCTTCTATTTTTACTGTTAAGAAGTTCATTGTCAATCTAATTGCTTTACTTTGGAGATTCTCTCTTTTTATCTTCTCCACCCACCCCTATTATACACATACAATCACTTTTTCTTTCTTAAATTCTTTTGTTTTAATTTTTAGGTTTCAGTACCATGCATCTAGGTGTGAATTATGTAACTAACGTACTTTGATGTTTACTCTGCTTGGAGCCCAGTGAGTTTCCAAGGTTTGAAGATCAATGGCTTTTACCAACTCTTGAAAATCAATAGCCATGGTCTCTTCAAGTCCTGAACTCTCATTTTTTTTTCTTTCGTTTTGTTTTCTCTTGCTAGAAAGTTTGGTAGTTTTTGTTTTCCAAGTATCTTAGCTTTTTAAAATATTTTCTATTTTTTAGTTATTTAAACTTTAGTCAGAATAATTTCTTTAGACATTTCTTCCACATCACTATTTTTCTATTGCACTATATATAATCTGCCACCTAACCTTTTTAAGTTATAAATTCTTACTAGTGAAGAAAGTAGTTTTTAATGAACACATAATAATTGTACATATTTATGAGGCACAATGTAATGCTTTAATATGTGTGCATATTTTGCAATGATCAAATTAGAATAATCAGCATATCCATCATCTTAAAGAGTTATAATTTCTTTGTGATTAGAACACACAAAACCCTCTCTTTTAGCTATTTTTTTATATATCATACCTAATTTTTGGTTGTAGTTACACTACTGTGCCATAGGACACTAGAAATTATTTTTCCTTTCTGATTGTAACTTTGTATCCATTGACCATCCTCTTTTCATCTTCGTCTCCCTCCTACTTTCCCCAGTCTCTGATAACCACTGATTTATTCACTACTTCTGTGAGACAATTTTTTTTAGATTTCACATGAGAACATACTCCGCTTGTGTTTCTGTGTCTGGCTTATCTCACTTAACATCCTCAAGATTCATCGATGTTATTGCAAATGACAGGATTACAGTCTTCCTCATGGCTAAATAGAATTCCATTTTGTGTATATATATCACATTTTATTTATCCATTTAACCATTGTTGAATATATAGATTGATTCCATAACTTTCTCTGTGAATTGGGCTGCAATAAACATGGGAGTGAAAATATCTCTTTGACATACTCATTTCATTTCCTTCAGATACATACTCAGCAGTGGAATTGTTAAATCATATGACAGTTCTATTTTTAATTTTTCAGAAAACTTTATACTGTTTTCCATCATGGCTGTACTAATTTACAGTCCCACCAACAGTGGTAATGATCTCCTTTCCTCTACATCTTCACCCAAACTTGTTACCTTTTGTCTTTTTGATAATAGCTATTCTAAGTGGAGTCAGGTGATATCTCATTGTGGTTTTGATTTGTATTACTGTTATGATTAGTGATCTTGACCACTTTTTCATAAAGGTCTTTAGTCTGTGTTTTAAGCACATTACTTTTTGTTGTTGATTTGTTTGAGCTCCTTATATATTACAGATATTAAAACTTTTTCAAATGTATATAGCATATAAATGTTTCATCTATTCTGTAGATCACCTCTTCACTCTGTTGATTGTTTTCTTCTTTGTGCAGAAGTTTTTCAGTTCGATGTAATCTCATTTGTCTGTTACTGCTTTTGTTGCCTATATTTTTGAGGTCTTATCCAAAAGATCTTGGCCAGTCCAATGTTATAAACCATTTTCCTTATGTTTTCTTCTAGTAGGTCCATAGCTTTGGCTTTTACATTTAAGCTTTTAATTCATTTTGGGTTGATTTTTGTATCTGGTAAAAGATAGGGGTACAGTTTCATTTTTCCACTTGTGGATATCCAGTTAACCCAGGACCATTTATTAAAGAGACTATTCTTTCCCCAGTGTGTGTTCTTAGAACCTTTTTTGAAATCAGTTGGCCACTATTGTGTAGACTTATTTCTGGGCTCTCTCTTGTGTTCCATTAGTGTCTGCTTTTATGCCAATACAAGGTTGTTTTTGGTTATTACAGATTTGTAGTATGTTCTGAAGTCAGGTAATGTGATGTCTCCAGTTTTTTTTTATTATTTTTCAAAATGTCTTTGACTATTTGGTTATTTTGTTATTCTATATAAATTTTAGAATATTTGTTCTATTTCTGGGGAAAATGTCATTGGTATTTTAATAGAGAATGCATTGAATCTTTAGACTAATTCAGGTACTATGAACATTTGTAGAATATTAAAGCTTCTAATCCATGAACATGGGATATATTTTCATTTATTGTTTCCTCTTCAATGTATTTCATCAATGATTTATTGTTTTAGTGTAGAGATCTTTCACCTCCTTCATTAAATTTATTTTTGAGCATGTTATATATTTTGTAGGTATTGTAAATTAGATTGTTTACTTGATTTCCTTTTCAGATATTTTACTATTACCATATAAAACCACTGTGATTTTTCTATGCTGATTTCATATTCTGCATCTTTATTGGATTCATATGTCATTTTTAACAGAGTTCCCGTGATTTTTTTCCTTCTATATATAGACCATGTCATCTGCAAATAGAAACAATTTGAGTTCCTCCTTTCCAATTCGGATGCCTTTTATTTTTTTCTCTTGCCTAATTTCTCTGGCCAGAACTTCCAGAGCTTTGTTGAATACAAGTGAGAAAATGGGGCATCATTAAATTGTTTCAGTTCCTAGAAAAAAAAAAAAAAGGTTTTAACTTTTTTCTTTTTCCTCAGGACATTAGATGTGGTACTTGTTTTGTGTTGCCTGTACGGTGTTGAAGTACATACCTTCTATACCTAATTTGTTGAGAGTTTTCATTAGAATAAATGTTAGGTGTTTGGTAGAATTTATCGGTGAAGCCATCAAGTCCTATGCTTTTCTTTTGATGGGAGTTGTTCTTTATCTATTTAGTACTTATTCAACTTTCCCATTTTTGATGATTTAGGCTTTCTATTTCTTCACAAGTCATTTTTGGTAGGTTGGATATGTCCAGGAATTTATCCATTTCTTCAAGATTATCCAATTTTTTCACATATAATTTTTCATAATAGTCTTTAATGATCCTTTGTGTTTCTGTGGTATTGGCTGTATTGTCTCCTTTTTCATTTTTTACTTTTTTGAGTTATCTCTCTCTTTAGCTAGTCTAGCTTAAGATTTGTCAATTTTGTTTACTTTTATAAAATAAACTTTATTGATACTTTACATTTTGTTATTTTGTTATGCTCTTATATTTATATTCCTTCTACTATTTTTGATTTCAGTTTGATCTCGTTTTTCTGGTTCCTTGACATGCAGTGTTAGGTTGTTTATTAGAGATCTTTCTACTTTCTTGATGTAGGCGTTTATTGCTGTAAACTTTCCTCTTAGAACTTCTTTGCTGCATTCAAAAAGTTTTGTTCTGCTGTGTTTCAAATTTTTTTTTAATTTCTCAGCAAATATTTAAGTTTCTCTTAATTTCTTCTTGACCCATTAGCTATTTAGGAGCATGTTGTTTAGTTTTCAGGTATTTGAAAGTTTCCAAAGTTCCTCTTCTTATTGATTTCTAGTTTTATACCATTGTGATCCTAAAATGTACTTGATATGATTTCTGGGTTTTTAAATTCATGAAGATTTGTTTTTTTGTCACAATAAGTAATTTGTCCTAGAAAATGTACAATATGCAGTTGAAAAGAATATGTATTCTTCAGTTGCTGGATAAGATATTCTGTAAATGTTTGGCAAGTCCTTTTGCTCTAGAGTGTAGTGTATATTCAATATTTCTTTGTTGCTTTTCTTTATGGATAATCCATTGTTGAAAATTGAGGTGTTGAAGTCCCCTACTGTTTTTGTAAAGTCTGTCTCTCCTTTTATACTTAATAATACCTTCTGTATGTATTTGGATGCTTTCTTAGGGACATATACATTCATAATTGTTATATCCTCATGGTGAATTGGATTTTTATTATTATATAATGACCTTTTTTGTCACTTTTTACAGTTTTTGGCACAAAGTTTATTTTATCTGGTGTAAGTATAGCTACTCTTGATTGCTTTTGGTTTTCATTTTCATGGAATATCTTTCTTAAACCCTTCATTTCTTATCTATGTACATCTTTACAGGTGAAGTGAATCTCTTGTAGCCAACAAATATTTAAGTCTTTTTTAAAAATTCATTTAGCCACTCTGTTTGTTTAGTCTATTTACATTCAAGGTTATTATTGATAGGTGAGGGCTTATTCCTGCCATTTTGTTAATTGACTTTCTGATTGTTTTGTAGATCCTTTGTTTCTTTCTTCCTCTCTTGTTGTTTAGCTTTGTGGTGTGATGCTTTTCTGTGGTGCTAAGCTTTGTTTTATTTGTTTTTGTCTTTGGGTACTTGTTGAAGCTCCTTTTATTGTGGTTTTTATGGGAATAACATTAAAATTTTGTAGTTATAATAGACTAAGCTAATAACTTTAATCAAACAAAAATATTCTCGAGTTTTACTCTTCCTCTCACAATTTAAATTATATTGATTTAATTGACATCTTCGTATATTGTGCATTCCTCACCAACTAATTATAGCTGTAGTTATTTCTTACCATTTTTACTTTTAACTATTACACTACAGATTTGAAAGTTTTACTTAGCACCATTACAGTATTGAAGTATTCACAGTTTGATTACAAGTTTACCCCTACAAGTGAGTTTTATACCTTCATCTGTTTTAATGATTGTATTACTATTAGATTGCTTTCAGTAGTAGCACTCCCCTAAGCATTTCTTCCGAGGCCAGTCTAGTGGTGATGAATTTCCTTAGCTTTTACTTGGAAAATATTTTATTCCTCCTTCAATTCTGAAGAATAGTATTGTTGGGTATAGAATTTTTGTTATTGAGTTTTTCTTTTTTTTTTTTCTTTTCCTCTTATCACTTTGAATTTATCACCCTATTCTTTCCTGACAGTTTGGTTATAACATGCCTAAAAGAGGACCTTTTAGCATTGAGTCTATTTGGGGACATGTGAGTTTCCTGAATCTGAATGTTTGTCTGTCTCTTAAGATTTGGCATTTTAAAATTTTTATTTATTTATTTATTTATTTATTTATTTATTTATTTATTTATTTTTGAGACAGAGTCTCGCTCTGTCACCAGGCTGGAGTGCAGTGATGCAATCTCGGCTCACTGCAACCTCCGACTCCCTGATTCAAGCGATTCTCCTGCCTCAGCCTCCGGAGTAGCTTGGATTACAGATACGCGCCACCACGCTTAGCTAATTTTTTGTATTTTTAATAGAGATGGGGTTTCACCGTGTTAGCCAGGATGGTCTCAATCTCTTGACCTCATGATCTGCCCACCTTGTCCTCCCAAAGAAGTGCTGGGATTACAGGCATAAGCCACTGCACTCGGCCACATTTTTTGTTATTATTTTGACAGATAGGTTTTCTGTGCCTTCATCTTCAGTCTCTCCTCCCTTTGGGATTCCCACAATGTTATGATTTTGTGTGTGTGTGTGTGTGCAATGGCATCCCATAAGTCCCATAAACCTCTTTCAATTTTTTTATTATTATTTATTTTTTTCCTTCTGACTGGGTTATCTCAAAATACCTACCTTCAGGTTTAAATATATATATTTTTGTATTCTGCTCATTCTAGTCTGTTGTTAAAACCCTCAATTTTATTTCTATTTAATTTGCTGAATTCTCCAGTTCCAAATTTCTGTTTTGGTTTGTTTTTGTAATATCTACCTTTTCACTGAATTTCTCATTCAGCATAAATTGTTTTTCTGACTTTATTGAATTATATATTTGTTTTCTGTTATATCTTATGGAATTTTCTTAAGATCATTATTTTGAATTTATTTTCAGGCATCTTATACATTTTCTTTTCTTTGGGGTCTGTTACTGGATAATTATTAAGTTCCTTTGGAGGTGTCATGTTTCTTTGCTTTTTCATGTTTCTTGTGTCTCTTTATAGATATCTGTGCATCTGGTGGAAGAGTCACTTCTTCTAATTTTATGAAGTAGCTTTCATAGGAAAAGGCTTATTCCTGTAGATGGGTTCCAGGATGTTAGTTGGGTGAAGCGGATTGGGCTTTGGTTCTGGATGGATGTAGTAGTGTAGTCTCTGTGCAGTTTCTTCAGCTGTAATCCATATCAGCAATTTTTCAGAGTGTTTAAGTAGATGAGGCTGTATGAGTTTGTGGCAGTAGTGCTGCTGCTTTGTCAGGAACAAGCTTGTTGGGCTGACTCTCAGGTTGGTAGCACATTTCTGCACATGGTAAGTCAGCAGGTTCATGGACTCGCTTGGCTAGAGTGAGGTTGTTGGTTTTTTTTTTTTTTCAGGTCAGTAGCATAAACACAGGCTGTCAGCAGGTCTGGCTCACTGGGACTGAGTTCACCACAATGTTTTGCTGGTTGAGATCATGGACACACAATGAGTGGTTCAGTGGCTCAAGGACGGGCCTGCTAGGTGTAAGTCCACCAGGCTGTTTCTTTCGCTGGGGATGTTGGGCGGGCTTGCTGGGGGAGTTTCTACCAGGTTATTTCTCCCTCCAGGGACATGAGTGTGCTGTGGTTCAGCTAGCTTGCGGGTGAACTCAGTGGGAAAGTTCTGTCAGGCTATTTCTCAGGCCAGGGACATAGGCATATGGCATTGTGCTTAGGAGCTATGCAAGTCACAGCTGTTTTGGGGCTCAGGCTCCAAGCGGCTAGTGTCATGCCTTGTGGCCACCTGTGTTAGTAAGGTAAAATGAAGGTGGAGTTTAAAGATGGACAGAGGCAGTGGCTACTGGCCCACAGAGCAGAGTGTGCTCCAGCAGCAACTCCGGTTTCAAGATGGTGCCATGCTGTATTAGCTTGCGTCGTAAGAGTGGAGAGTGCACAGCATGAGCTCCTACCCTGGAGCAATGCCACCGTGTGAATTCCAGGCAGTTCCCCAAACTGCATTTAGGGACTTTAAGGGCCGCATAATTCTCCTGTAGCAAGAACTGCCAAGTGCCTACAGTGGTAATTGAGGATATTGGGGGCCTCCTGCCTACTTTTTTCCTGCAAAGGAAAGTCCTTTCAGGCTCCAGGTTGATCCTGGCAAGGGAGATAGTGGAGAAGAGTCAGGGTGCTTTGCTCTTCTCTCTATGCTGTCATTCTGGGTTTGTGTGTTCCACAGGTTTTACTACTCACTTGCTGCACTCCAGCTCTCTCCTTCAAACTCTCTACTCAAACTTGTCTATTTGTTGCTTTGGTTCTTTTCATTTGTTTAGCAGGTCACCTGCAGATACTTCGATCCTCCTTCTTTAGGTCCAAAGTAAATATAAAAAATTCATTTTCTAATAATTTTTTTCAATGAGGTTTTAAAATCCTGTAGGTACTCTTAATTCAGAAAAAAAAATCCCTAGGTGGATCAGATTGTAATTTCAAATTATTATGGATAATATTCATCTATTCAGTACCTTATGTTATATATTAAATAGTTAAATGATGAGGTCTACATTTTAATGTAGGGACTTTTTACTATACTTCACCTTTGATGAGTCCTAGAGTTTATGATCTGTTATCCATGAAGCCATCAGAGTGGATCCCGAGAAGTGAAGTGGATCTCTAGTACAGGACAATGAAGTTGAACTCAGAAAATGGAAGAAGATTCCAGGAAAAAAAGTAGATTTTGGAGATCACTTTCCTCATTTTCATTCACTTACCTACTTTCCCAACAAATGTGTCTCTGCAGATTCCTTATTACCATAACAGTTCAGCAATGCCTTTTTATGTTTCACTTAACACATTTATTTCTTCTCATTGGGGAAGATCATTCCCGGTATCTAGTCAGCCATATTGAAAAAGACATTAGCTGATATTTATTTATTTATAAGAAAAATGTCACTTGAAACTCTCCTTCATCCCAGGATTTCTGTCTGTCTAAAAACTGTTTCTGTCCTACCTTAGAATGTAGTTCTAAAGGTTAATAGTGTAGTTTTATTTTGGAGTGGCCAACTTAATTGACATGGCCAGGGAGATCTCTGAAGAACTAAGAAAGGGCAAAATCATTTTATTATTTATGTTAGTGGAGGCACGTATAGACTATTCTCCCAACTATTTCCTATTTATATTTCTACCTCCTCATCCATATAAAATAAAAATCATAAAATTAAAATTTAAAAGAAGTAATTAAATGATGTACAAGTTACCACCATGAACTGAGGTAAAAAGGCTAGAGTTTATTAGGATAAACACAAGTAAATAAAACTGATACTTTGGCCATTGTTTGGGAAGGGAGCTGGTTGTGATTTCACAAAAAATCAAGGCTAGTATTTCTAAGGCTGCATGAACAGGAAGCCATAAACTCAAACTTTGGTGAAAAAAAAATTCTTTAAGTCTTGGTACCTAAAGAAACTTTAATCAGTACATGTTGGTTCAATTGGATTTTGAGCATGATTAAAAAACAGACACTCTGGGCCCTATTCATATTCCAGAGCTCATTGTGTTTTCCATTTGATTTAATCTGATGAGAGACTATGCTTGGCCAGCTGCAAACAGCATGTTAAGAATTATTTTCAACTTAGTTGATAAGGTACATTTTGGGGGTGGGGAAAAGAGATACTTAGGCTGAGCTTACATGAGATTTATCACCTGCTAAGCTCCACGGTATAAAATAACACCCTGAGCAAAACACTGACTTTTTTTTTCTTCACCAATTTTATGCCTATCATCCCTCACAAACATTTAAAACTCACCTCATTCAAGTAATCCTATATTTGGTCTTTTCTTTTTCTTCTAGATTCATTGTAGAAAAATAGAGTATTATTCAGTTTTCTTTTCTTTTTCTTTTCTTTTCTTTTTTTTCCCCTGAGATGGAGTCTTTCTCTGTCTCCCAGGCTGGAGTGCAGTGGCATGATCTTGGATCACTGCAACCTCTGCCTCCCGGGTTGAAGCAATTCTCCTGCCTCAGCCACCTGAGTAGCTGGGATTACAGGCACCTGCCACCACGCCTGGCTAATTCTTGTATTCTTAGTGGAAACAGGATTTCTCCATGTTGACCAGGCTGGTCTCGAACTCTTGACTTCAGGTGATCCCCCCGCCTCGGCCTCCCAAATTGTTGGGATTACAGGTGTGAGCCACCACGCCCAGCCCTATTCAGTTTCCAGTCATGTCTTCTCAGACAGTCTTCATATGTTTATGGTCTTAGCTCTAACTTAACTTTAACTTTTCTGAAAATAGACAAAAAATAATTATGCATGTCTTGTCTATCTATTTATGATGTCTGATATCATGCATTCCATAAATGTTGTTGACCAATAACATAAATATGACTCAAATTCATATCTTGTTTTTATTACATCAATGTTTAAATGTCCATATAAAACTTTAAAAATTAACATAATGTAGATAATTAAGGTTGGAAAGTGCATCTTCCAAAGCACATTATACTTTCCAAGTAAACCCTTAGACATGTAAATTCTAATTAAAATGAGAAAAAACTGTTTCTTCAAGGCTTTGAAATTTTTAATTAATCTTTGTATTTAAAAACTATTAATAATCACTTTATGCAATTATTTTTAACAGTATTTTCAAATTAGGCAATTAAAATAATTTAATGAACCAATTTAAATTATGTTTAGCATAAGTGGTCTAAAGTAATGTCTAAAACAATGTTATTATGCATAGTGATAAATTAATAATCATAAATATTTCTAAAATCTGTTATGTGTGGGAAATTATAAACAGACCTGGAGCAAAGGCTGTGGGATATAGAGGGATGATAAAGCTAGATAGATGGGGCAGTTGATTGATGAAGATCTATGCATGCAATGAATTCCTAAGATGTTTCAGCAGCTTGTGTTCATTGATGGCCTCTTATATGTTAGAAATTTTACTAATGTAAATATGCAAGAGATGTAGGCTTAAATATTAAGAAAGGGAATATCTTGGTCCACAGGCTGCTACAACAAACTACTATAAGCTGAGTATCTTATAAATAACAAAATTTACTTATCATAGTTTTGGAGGCTGAGAAATCCAAAAATAAGGCAAATTTGGTATCAAGTTTTGGTACCTGTTTTCTTGTTCATAGGTAGTACCTTCTCACTGTGTCTCATATGATGCAAGGAGCTAGCTAGCTCTCTGCAGTCTCTTTTATAAGAGCTCTAATCCCAATCATGAGGACTTTGCCCTCATGACAGGACCTCCCAAAAGCCCCTACTTTCTAATAACATCACTTTAGTGGTTAGGATTGTAACATATTAATTTGGGGAGCCTTAATATTTATACCACAGCATGAAATGACTTAATTAGTTTTAAAATATTTATCTAGAAACCATTTTAAGAATTATTTAAAAGTAATTGTGGAATAGAGAAAGATTGACATTAGATAAAAGTAATTAGCCTATTATAATATTTTTATTTAAAGGATAAATTAGTCAGTAGCTGATAGAATTGTATAAGTGCCTTAGGTTTAAAAAGCATTCCAGAAATAGAATGGATAGTGCTGGTTGACTGATTTCAGATGGGCAAAATGATTAGACTAAGATTGATTTCTTAGTGCTAACAGCAAGAATTATGACACAATAACATATTTTTTCAACCTACCAAAAAGAAGTTGACAAGCTTCCAATACATAAAAGGAGTAGACTGTTGATGAGTTGTGATAGATTTGAAGTTTTCTATTTTTTATCAATAAAATTCTATTTTTCAAGTAAAACCTAGTGGGTAAAATAGATAAAACAGTATTTTATTAAAATAATTTTCTTATATGCATTCAAATTTGCTTAAAAAACAAGAATTTACATTTTTTACTAAGAAACCTGTCAAATACTAAAATGAAAATTCATTAGCTATAATTGAGAGATGACCAGATACAATAAAGCAAAGTATCAGCAAACTTAAATGTTGGCCAATAGTATTTTCTCAAGTCAAAATTAAAAAAAAACAAAAAATAAATAATAAAAAAAGCAGATCCTAGATTACCTCTGGGATTGTATTAAGCTTCCTGATATATGTATAACTGGAGTCCTAGAAGAAAATGAAAATAAGAAAAGGGCAGTCAAAATACAAACAATACAGTAGTCAAAGTTTTTCATACTGTAAATAGATAGATAATATTCGCAGATTTTGGAAACTCACCAGAATACAAGCAAGATAAATAGAGAGGAAACCATTCCTAAGAGAAGAGAAAAACCAAACTGCTAAACCATAAAGCTATGGAGACAATGTTAAAATTAGCCAGAGAAAAAAGATACATAATACACAGGAAAACAGCTATAGAGGGTAGAACTGAAGATAGTAGGACATCTTTAGTGTTCAAAAAATAAGAAATAAAAACACAGAATTTTTATCTTTAAAAAGTGTTTTGTTCAAAAGTAAAGAAACTTCCTGATAAATAAAAACAATGAACATGTGCTGCTCAAGAAAAATACTAGAAAATATGTGATAGATATTCAAATATAAAGAAAAAAAGTTATAACATGCAAACACCACACCTAAGAAAGCTGATGTAGCTATGCTAATATGAGGAAGGCAGACCTTAAGGTGAGTTGTATTGCCAGAGTTAAAAATGGGTAATTTCATAATGATAAAAAATGCAATTCATCATGAAGAAATCAATTCTAAATTTTTATACACCTAATAATAGAAGCTTAGAATACAAAAAACCAAAAGGAACAAAAATAAAAGGGAGAAATAGACAAATATATAATTATAGTTAAAAATGTTAACACTCCACGTCAGTAATTTATAAAATGAGTGTCCTCAATTCAGTAAATGTTTAAAAGACTTGAAAATCACTATGAACCAACTTAATTAATATTTATTAAACATTTCACCCAACAACTACAGAATAAACATTTTTTTCAAGTTCATAGGGAGTGTTCACAAAGCCAAGCTCCATGCTGGGGCGTAAAATAAGTCACAATAAATGTCATGTGATTAAATCATATAGAGCACGTTTTCCAACCACAAAAATATTTAATTACAAATATAAAGAAATGCATGTAAATAAATTCCAAATGCTTAAAATTGTTATAAAAGTAATAATACACTTAAAAAATAGTACTTATGAGTCAAGAAAGACATCACAAAGGAAATTTTTAATATTGTTTAAATAAAATAATAAAAATGCAATATAACATAATTTGTTATATTTCATATATATTATATATTATAAATATACATATATTAAATATACATATATATTAAAAATATGTAGCTGTTATAGAAATTAAATTTATAATTTAAAATACCCTTACACAGATAATTTCAGGCCCAGTTTTCCCCAATGAAAAATGATATCAAACAAACAAATAAGGAACAAAGGAATATTCCTCATTTGATTTTTTTGAAGCCATTATAATTCTGATTCCAAAATCTGAAACAATATTACAAGAAAATTACAAACTGATATAATTCATAAACTTAGGTGCAAAAAAATAGAAAACCCCAAAATGTTAGCATGTCAAATATGACAATATATTTACAACACTAAAAGTTTAAGACACTAAGTAGCAGCAAGTTTTTTTCCAGGAATGAAAACTTGGTTTAACATTCAAAAATCAATTTAATCGGACATCAAGTAATACAGGTTGGATGTCCCCTCCAAATCTCATTTTGAGATGTAATCCCCAGTGTTGGAAGTGGGGCCTGGTGGAAGATGTTTGGATAACAGGGATAGATTCTTCACTTCTCACAATAGTGAGATAGTGAGTTCTTGCAAGATCTGGTTGTTTAAGAATGTGTTGCACCTCCTCCCACCATTGCTCCTGCTCTTGCCATGTGAAATACCTGCTTCTGTTTCACCTTCTGTCATGAGTAAAAGCTCCCTGAGTCCTGCCCAGAAGCCAAGTAGATGCCAGTGCTGAGAGGTGATGGCGTGCTGGCAGTCCTCACAGCCCTCCCTCGCTCTCGGCGCCTCCTCTGCCTGGGCTCCCACTTTGGCGGCACTTGAAGAGCCCTTCAGCCCGCCGCTGCACTGTGGGAGCCCCTTTCTGGGCTGGCCAAGGCCGGAGCCGGCTCCCTCAGCTTGTAGGGAGGTGTGGAAGGAGAGGCGCGAGCGGGAACCGGGGCTGCGCGGGGCGCTTGAGGGCCAGCTGGAGTTCCGGGTGGGCGTGGGCTTGGCGGGCCCCGCACTCGTAGCGGCCGGCCGGCTCTGCCGGCCCCGGGCAATGAGGGGCTTAGCACCCGGGCCAGCGGCTGCGGAGGGTGTACTGGGTCCCGCAGCAGTGCCGGTCCACCGGCGCTGCGCTGGATTTCTCACTGGGCCTTAGCTGCCTTCCCGCGGGGCAGGGCTCAGGACTTGCAGCCTGCCATGCCTGAGCTTCCCACCCCCTCCACGGGCTCCTGTGTGCCCGAGCCTCCCCGATGAGCGCCGCCCACTGCTCCACAGCGCCCAGTCCCATCGACCACCCAAGGGCTGAGGAGTGCGGGTGCACAGTGCGGGACTGGCAGGCAGCTCCACCTGCAGCCCCGGTGCGGGATCCACTGGGTGAAGCCAGCTGGGCTCCCGAGTCTGGTGGGGACTTGGAGAACCTTTGTGTCTAGCTCAGGGATTGTAAACGCACCAATCAGCGCCCTGTCAAAACAGACCACTCGGCTCTACCAATCAGCAGGATGTGGGTGAGGCCAGATAAGAGAATAAAAGCAGGCTGTCGGAGCCAGCAGTGGCAACTCGCTGGGGTCGCCTTCCACGCTGTGGAAGCTTTGTTCTTTCGCCCTTTGCAATAAATCTTGCTACTGCTCACTCTTTGGGTCCACACTGCTTTTATGAGCTGTAACACTCACCACGAAGGTCTGCAGCTTCACTCCTGAAGCCAGCAAGACCGCGAACCCACCAGGAGGAAGGAACAACTCCAGACGCGCCACCTTAAGAGCTATAACACTCACCGCGAAGGTCCGCGGCTTCATTCTTGAAGTCAGTGAGACCAAGAACCCACCAATTCCGGACACACTGCCATGTCTATAGCATCATGAACCAGTTAAACCTCTTTTCTTTATAAGTTACCCACTCTCAGGTATTCCCTTACAGCAATGCAAGAACGGCTAATACAGAAAATTGGTACCAGGAGGGGAGCATTACTATAAAAAGGCCTGAAATAGTGGAAGCAGCTTTGCAACTGGATAACCAGCAAAGGTTGGAAGAGTTTGGAGGGCTCAGAAAAAGACATAAAAATGAGAGGAAGTTTGGCCCTTCTTAAAGAATGGTTAAGTGGTTGTGAACAAAACGCTGATAGTAGTAGATAAAGTGAAGTCCACCCTGATGAAATCTCAGAGGGAAATGAGAAAGTTATTGAGAACTAGAGCAGAAGTCACCCATGTTATGCTTTAAAAAAGAGCTTCCGTGCATTGTGTTCATGTCCTGGAGATCTGAGAAAGTTTAAACTTAAAAGTGATGACCTAGAGTATATGGCAGAAAAGTTTTCTAAGCATCAGAGCATTCAAGATGTGGCCTGGCTGCTTCTTAGAGCCTGCACTCAGATACAAGAGCAAAAAAAAGATGACTTATAGTTGGAATTTATATTTGAAAGGGAAGCAGAGTGTAAAAGTTTGGAAAATGTGCAGCTTGGCCATGTGGCAGAGAAAGAAAAAGCATTATCAGAAGAGGAATTCAAGCAGGCTGTGGAGCAACCACTTATTAGTGAGACTGGCATGATTAAAAAGAGCCAGGTACTGATAGCCCAAACAATGGGAAAAAGGCCTTGAAGGCATTTCAGAGATCTTTGTGGCAGCCCCTCCCATCGCAGGCTTTAAGGCTGAAAAGGAAAGAATGGTTTCCTGGACCAGGCATAGGACCTCTCTGCTCTGCCCAGCATCAAGACACTCCTCCTTGTGTCCTGGCCACTCCAGCTCTAGGCACAGCTCAAAGGGCTCTAGGTTTAGCTCGGGCCACAACTGCAGAGGCTGCAGTCTGTAAGCCTTGACAACTTCTACATGGTGTTAAGCCTGTAGGGGCAGAGTTCAAGTGTGAAAGAGGCTTGGCAGCCTCTGCCTAGATTTCAGAGGATGTATCAGAAAGTCTGGGTTCCCAGATAGAAGTTTTCTTCAAGGGCAGAGCCCTCACAGAAAACCTCTACAAGGGCAGTACAGAGGGTAAGAACGGGTTTGGGGGTCCCACAGAGAACCCTTACTGAGCACTGCCCAGTAGAAATCTGGGAATTGAGCCACTGTTCTCCAGACCACAGAATGGTAGATTCACAGGCAGCTTGTACACTGCACCTGGAAAAGATGCAGGTGCTCGACACCAATCCGTGAAAGCAGCCATAGGGTCTGTACCCTGCAAAGACACACTGACAGAGCTTCCCAAGGTCTTTGGAGCCCACCCCTTGCAGCAGTGTGCCTTGGATGTGGGATATGGAATCAAAGGAGGTTATTCTGGAGCTTTAAGATTTAATGACTGTCAGATGAGTAGATTGCAAAAATAGGTGGGAATGGAACAATGAGAACACATGGACACAGGAAGGGGAACATCACACACTGGGGCCTGTTGTGTGGTGGAGGGAGGGGGGAGGGATAGCATTAGGAGATATACCTAATGTTAAATGACGAGTTAATGGGTGCAGCACACCAACATGGCACATGTATACATATGTAACACACCTGCACATTGTGCACATGTACCCTAAAACTTAAATTATAATAAAAATTAATTTTTCAAATTTATCTATAAATTCAAGGCCACCACAGTTGAAATCACAATTTTTTTTTGTTGTTGTTTTGTTTTCATTTGGCTTTTTAGAGGCATTTTCAATTCTATTCTAAGAATTCTATGAAAACAAAAATTTCTAAAACATCTGCTCTAAAAAAGGTGGAGCAAAACTTCCTAACCCTTAAGTGGCGTGGGTTACACATAGTGACATTCATTCAAAGTGTACTCCCTGAAATTAAAACTCTCAAAATCTGGGTACAGGAGAAACATAATATAATAAAAGCCATATATGGAAAACTCAAAGCTAGTATCATACTAAATGGGGGAAAATTAAAAGCCTTTCCCCTAAAATCTGGAACATAATAAGGATGCCCACTGTCACTTCTGTTATTCAGCATAGTACTGGAAGTCCTACTTGAATAATCAGACAACAGAAAAATACAAAGAGCATCCAAATTAAAAAATAAGAAGTCAAATTGTCCATATTTGCCGATGACATAATCTTATATTTGGAAAAAAAACTAAAGATTCCACAAGAAAACTTTTAGATCTGCTAAGCAAATTCAGTAAAGTTGAAGAATACAATATCAGCATACAAAAATCAGTAGCATTTCTGTATGCCAACAGCCAACAAACTGAAAAAGAAATAAAAATTAAGCTTATTAACAGTAGCCCAAATAAAATTAGTAACAAGGAATTAACTAAAGAAGTGAAAGATATCTGAATAAAAACTGCAAAACAATGATGAAATAAATTGAAGAAGACACAAAAATGGAAAAATATTCCATGTTTATGGATTGAAAGAAGGAATATTGTTAAGATGTCCATATTATCCAGTGCAATCTACAGATTCAATGTAATCCCTATCAAAATACCAATGACATTCTTTATGGAAATAGAAAAAAATCTAAAATTTATATGGAACCACAAAAAAAAAAACTCAGAATAGACAAAGATACTCTAAGCAAAAAGAACAAAATTGTAAGAACCACTGTACCTGATGTCAAATGATACTACAGAGCTATAGTAACCAAAACAGCATGTTACTGGCATAGAAGCAGACACATAGACCACTGGAACAGAATAGATAACCAGAAAACAAGTCCACAAACCTACAGTGAACTCATTTTCAACAAGGTGCCAAGAATATTCACTGGAGAAAGAACAATCTCTTCAATAAATGGTGCTAGGAATACTGGATATTCATAACCAGAAGACCCATATGTTTCACCATATACTAGACCCATATGTTTCACCATATACAAAAATCAAATCAAAATGGATTACAGACTTTAATCTAAGACAACAACTGGATGAAACTGGAGTTAATTATATTAAGTAAAACAAGCCAGGCACAAAAACACAAGCATCACATGTTCTCACTTATTTGTGGGATCTAAAAATCAAAACAGTTGATCCTATAGAGATAGAAAATAGAACAATGATTACCAGAGGCTGGGAAGGGGAAAGAAGGGAGGGTGGGGGTGGTGTGGAGATGGATAATAGGTACAAAAAATGGAATAAATGAATGAATAAGGCCTAGTATTTGATTGCACAGGAGGGTGACTATAGTCATTAATTATTTAATTGTACATTTTAAAATAACTAAAAGTATAACTGGATTGTTTGTAACACAAAACATAAATGCTTGATGGGATAGATACCCCGTTCTCCATGATGTGCTTATTTCGCATTACAAGCCTGTATCAAAATGTCTTATGCACCCCATAAATATAGAAAGCTACTATGTACCCACAAAAGTTAAATATTTAAAAAAACAAAGAACACTGTATTGAAAGATAGAAAAAAATGGGTAAATTTAAAGTGGAAAAACCTGATAATTATTACCTCATCCAGTTAATCAAGGTTAGCATTAATTATGATGTCATGCAGATAGCATGGGTTTTTGATAAAATGTGATGAGAATGGCACTTCACCTTTCTGTCCTTCATATATATAAAATATATGTTTTTTAGGATTCTGACAAGTGTGTACATATTTTATATGATTACATCTTCAAAATCTACATCCCAAATAAAGAACATTAAATATATATGTGTATATTCTAAGAATGAGAAAACATCCTATACACTCAGTTGAGAGACATTTTATAAACTAGTTGGCCAGCAGTCTAAAAACTGAAAATTTTCCAAAACATGAGAAGTCAAGAAAACTATCACAGTCTACAAGAGGCTAAAGGGACATAACAAATAGATGTTATGTAACATCATGAACATTATCCTGAAACATGACAAAGCAATTAGATACATCTAAGGAAATTTGAATAAAGTATGAACCGTAGTTAAAAATGTAGGTATCAATGTTAGTACATTAGTTGTGATAAATGTACTGCACTTATGTACCATGTAAACAAAAAATTGGGGAGTGAGTATATGGGAACTCTCTATTCCTCTGTGCAACTTTCCTGTAAATCTAAAACTATTGTAAAATTAAAATGTTTCTTTTTAAAAAGCTTTGAATAGTCATAACAATATTCAAAGAGGAAAAGCACTATGCGTGATTTCAGGGTTTACTCTAAAGGTACATTAATCACATTGGTGTGGTATTGGCATAAGGATAGATACATACATCAATGGAACAAATAGAGAGTACAGAAATACATCCACACAGATATAGTCAATTAATTTTTGACAATCATGCCAAAGTAATTGAATAGGTAAGATATAGTATTTTAAATTACAGTGCTGAAACAAATTGCTATCCACATATAAAATAAACATTATTTCAATGCCTACCTGTAACATTTAGAACAATTAATTCAATATGGATTGTAGAATCAGATGTATAAACTAAAATTATAAAGCTTCTGCAAGTAAACATAAGAGAACTTCTTTATAAACTTTGGGTGGAGACATGTTTCTTACAATTCAAAGCATATTAAACATAAAACAAAAAGTGGATAAATATGACATCTTATAATCTTTTATTTAAAACATACTCTTAAAATAGAAAGTCATCTGCCTACTGGAATTAAATACTCACAATGTTAGTCTGACAAAGAATTTATTTCTAGATTATATACTAACTCCGACAAATCAATAATAAAATGACAGACTTCAATTTAAAAACTGCACAAAATTCTGTAATATACCTGTTGTAAATGAAAATAGAGAAATGGCTACTGAGTTCATGAAATTATGCTGCACATAGCTAGTTATAAGAAAAATGCAAACTAATTAATTGGGCATAGTGGCATGTACCTGCAATCATCTCAGCTACTCAGGAGGTGAGACAGGAGGATCACTTGAGCCCAGGAGTTCGAAGCTGCAGTGAGCTCTAATTGTACAGCTGTACTCCAGCCTACGCAACAGAATGAGGCCCTGTTTCAAAAATCTCAAAAATGAAAAAAAATAGAACATGACAATGTCAAGTGCTGCTGAAGATGTAAAACAACAAAAAAATATGTTGCTTGGAACTGTCCTATAGAGTCAAATATATACCAACAATAAACCCAGAAATTCTAGTTGGAGGTATTTACCCAAGAGGAATGAAAACACACAAATATGTGTACATAAGTGATCAGAGCAAGTTTATTCAGAATGGTAAACAAAATAACAAAAATGGTTATTAAAGGGGAATAAATATTAAAAAGTTATTCTCATAAAATGGAAATCATATTTAGCAATTAAAAATAAGCAGCTACTAATACATTATTTTGAGAGAAAGAAGCAAGAAAAAAGTTGTGCATACCTTCTTCTGTTTATATAATTTCCTACTAAGCAATAGCGATAGGAAAATAGTTGTTATCGTGGAGAATAGATGGGGTTGGCTAGACAGGAACATGAGTACTTTTTGGGACAATTGTAATAATCTTTGTCTTATTTGGGATGCAGATTTTGAAACTGTAATTATGTAATCATATAAAATGTGTACATATTTGTCAAAATCCTAAAAAACATATACTTAAAAATGCCTGCATGTCATTGTACATACACAACAACCAATTAAAAATACTAAAATTAATTTTAAATGTTCTTCTTAATTGGCTTTTACTTACATTTATTTAATTATAGATTGTGTTGAATATTTTAACTACATATGCTAGTTTATCAGTGAATATTATGTTATTATACTTTGTGCTTATATATATTTTTATTTTTTATTTCTATGATGTCTTAATAGAGATAATAACTTACCATTTATTTAACATTACTACACATATTTTACAACGTTATTTTAACTTTTTAATATATTAAATCTTTATATTTATTTTATTGTAATTTATTTTTTTTTTGTAAGCATAGAAAGGCTTTTTCCATTAGAGGTTGGATAAATATTATTTTCTAGTTCTTCCAGCATTTTTTAGATTAAACTTGTTAGTTCCTTTGTAATTTACTTTTTTGTCTGTTGAAATAAAGAATATCAATTATTTTTTCTGATTTCTAGTTGATTATGGCTTTTTTTCTGTTGATGTATAAAGCATCTTGAATAAAATAAAGTATATTTCTGGGCTATTTTAATTATCTCTCTGGTGTAATAAAATACCACATATTTTAGCTTTTATAACGTATTTATATAAGAAAGAGTAATTCTCTCATTACTCATCTTTGGTCAGAATTTACGTCTATGGTCCATTCTATTCTCTTGGAATAACTTTAAAGTCTATATACCAAGGTAAATAAATGACATTGTAAAATTCATTAAAATTGTATTAAGTCTGTACATTAATTGAATTTCTGACATCTTACTCTATTTTTGTTCCAATTAAGGAAAATGAGAGTTTCCTCCACTAATTTTTTCCCTTTATGTAATTTAAGAACATTTTACTTTTCCATTTATATCTCTGATTTAGACTAGTTTTATGTATTGTAATTATATTATTACATTTGAGTGAAAATATTTTCATTTTAACTTAACTAGCTTTTAATGTTACATAGGAAGTATTTGTGTCCAAATACTATAATAGTGCCTCATATGAAGAGTAATGTTGATTTCTTGATATAGAGTCACAGTTTTTATTAACTTGTTATTTTATTACATTCTAAATCAGGATACATTTTCTATGATACTTGCTTTGAAAGGATAATTAATTGAAGATTCTTCAAAGCTTAGTATATGATGTTTTGACATTAGATTCCCATATTTCATTTAATGGTTTATGATACAATTATATTTTAGGACGTGGAGTCCTAATAATTATATTTTAGAAATATAAAGAGAACTCAAAAATTTGGTTTTAGTTTAGTTTATCCCCAAGTCCTATTTATATGACTGTAGAAAGCATAGTGAACAGTTTAGAGAATGCTAAGAACTGGAAAGATATATTATAAGAACAGCAAAGCTTTTAAAGGGTTTCTAAATAGCACACAGATGGTATTATAGTAACCAAAATACTAGAACATAGTCAATGACATCTCAGAGCCCACCAGTGATAAGATGGTAGTCAAGATAGGGATCATTTTTCACTGACAGCCTTTTCCTGAGAGCCTGCCAGTACAATGATGATCAGAAGAGGAAAGAAGAGGGGAAATAACCAGTGTGACTTGTTGAAAAAAAAAAAATGGTCCTATAGCCTTCCAAATCTCTTTCCATCCAACTTTATTCCAAACCTGATGTTTTATCCTGGACTGAAAACAGAGAAATTCTCTCTAATTTTCCTGAAAATCTTTGGACTTGTAGACTGGGGGTTCAGCCCCAGACCCAAGCCTCATAATTTTGTCAGCTGGGAGGAGAGAAAACTGAGCATCTGTCTGTTGAAGTGAAAGTTGTCAGGTCATGAGATCTGCCTGGAAACAAACGTATATTAAAGGAAAAGCCCAGCAAAGGCATATGAAAACCACAAAGCCACCTATGGTAATCAAAGTCATTACTCATTATAAATAAATAGAGAAAGAAAATCAAAGAATTGGTTGGTTTTAAAAAGGAAAAAAAATGTTATTCAAAATAGAAGAATAGGCCAGGCACGGTGGCTCATGCCTGTAATCCCAGGACTTTGGGAGGCCAAGGTGGGCAGATCACAAGGTCAAGAGATCGAGACCATCCTGGACAACATAGTGAAACTCCGTCTCTACTAAAAATACAAAAAAATTAGCCAGGCATAGTGGTGGGCACCTGTAGTCCCAGCTACTCAGGAGGCTGAGGCAGGAGAATCGTTTGAACCCCGGAGGCGGAGGTTGCAGTGAGCCAAGATCGCACCACTGCACTTCAGCCTGCTGACAGAGCAAGACTCTGTCTCAAAGGAAAAAACAAAACAAAACAAAACAAAAAGCAGAAGAATAATTATTGACAATTAAAATATGATGACTTCACTTTTAAAAGTGAAGTAGAACAGTGATAAAATTGAGGAACCTAAGGAAAATAAGATAGATAAGAAAGCTAAGAGATTAAGGATTCATTCAGAATGGCGAGTATCAATCAGAAAGTACTTCTGATTGAAATTACTTTTAGAATGAAAAAATGTGGGAAATAGATGAAAGATATCAATAGGTATTAAAAGATTTTGCTCTTGTTGCCCAGGCTGAAGTGCAATGGTGTGATCTCGGCTCACCGCAATCTCTGCCCAGGCGATTCTCCTGCCTCAGCCTCCGGAGTTGCCGGGATTACAGGCACCTGTCAGTAAGCCTGGCTAAATTTTTGTGTCTTTAGTAGAGACGGGGTTTCGCCATGTTGGCCAGGCTGGTCTTGGATTCCTGACCTTGTGATCCACCCGCCTCAGCCTCCCAAAGTGCTGGGATTACAGGCGTGAACCACGGCGCCTGGCCTAAAAGATTTTTTTTTTTCAAAATGGAGAGTAAAAACAAATCTTCACACTGAAAAGACTTGATGAGTAATAAGAAAGAGATGCAGAGCTAGAAATACCTAATGTATGACACACTATAAAGAATTTTTTTTAAAATCTAAAAATATTCAGAGAAAATGTACAAAGCTTGTAAGTAAAGTTGAATACTAGAAGTTCCCAAAGAAGGAGAACAATTTGTTTCTACAACTTTATGTCCTATTAGATTCAAGTGAAAGAAAGAAATAAGGCATTTTAGTTACAACACCATTCAAAAAGTCGCCCCCACACTCCACCATGCATCTTTTTTGAAAAAAAAAAAAATTTGGATATACTTTAGTAAAACACAGACTAAATTCCGGAGGAAAACATTGAATCCCAGAGACAGGCTATTAACGTCATAAGACAAAATTTAGAAAGCAATCATTCTGAAAGTTATTGCTATAGAGCTGGCCTAAAAAGTAAATACTTAACCAAAATATAAATAAGAAGTTGAATTATTCTAGTAAATAATAAAAATGCACTTATTTCTTCCTTCATTAAAAGAGCATTAATTCTTGAGGAAAAAAAGGTTTAAAACTAGAAAAAGTGTAGTCTAAATATAAAGCATCTTGTAGTGGAAATTTGAGTATTTGAAAGAGGAAATTTGAAAGAAGGAGGAAATAGATATGCATATATATATATATGGCATGAGGACCTAGGGAATGTTACAAATTCTAAAATACCCTTTCACTCAAAATACATAGAAATACTGGGGGGGAAATCCCAATTCATGCTTAACTGAACTCAGAAAAAAGGGAAAAAATCCACTCAGACCAATACATTAAGAGGAAACTGCTAACCAGAGTAATAAGATGACATTGAAACCTCAAGGTCCATCAGAAAAGATGCAGAAACCTCTGATTTAAATGCAAGAATTTTAACAAGAATACCTGACAAGAGAAAAGGCCTTGGCCTCCCTGAGGAGATACTAACTGCAGAGAACTGGATAATGAGAACTCAGCCCTGTAAAAATTTGAAGAAAGTGTTCTGAGAAGAGGGAGCAGTATAAAATCCCCAAAGTAGAAGGGCCTTGGGGCAGTAAGGCTGTGGTCTAGTGAGCAAGAAAGAATGTAGTAGAAGTAGAGATGAAAGGTTTAGACACAATCCATGTATGTAAGGCTATAATTGTGATAAATAGCTTTGATTTGAAACTAAGCTCAATGGAAAGCCATTAGAGGGTTTCAGGAAGGAGTGATGAAATCAGATTTAAAATAAAAATTGGATGTTGCTCTGGGTGAATAAAATAGATAATGCATAAGTGCTTAATCCAGTTCCCATCATAGAATAAGCACTACATAATAGATAACTGATTATTCAACAGAAGCAAATATGTAAATGGTCAATTTGTTTCTTAATTATTTTCACTAGTTATATCATTTCTGCCAGTAGTACCACAAACTTTTCATATTTCCCTTTCATTTCTACAAATATATCTTAGGGCTAAAATCAAAGCTGATCTGAAAGTTTTTGGTGGATAATAGTGATAATTTTGGCTTAAGGAACTAAGGAATTGTCTAGGTCTTCACAGGGTTCCAAGAAAGAAGAGGTTACTACATTGCCTAAAGCAAAGAGATTAGTGATTCCAGAAAAGAACTGCTACATTACCTAAAAGACAGCATCTAAGGCTGTTGTGCCCATTAAATGCAGATTAATGGCATGAGGCTAGCAGAAAGGAGGGGAGACAAAAAGAGAACTAAGGCCTATTGATTTTTTTCCAAGATTGTAAATTGAATACAATATGAGAGATGAAGAGTTCTAAATCGTCCATGTTTACTTATGCAGCATCTCTTCACATTCAATAGAATATCACTTTGATTACTTTAACCAATGCAAAAAAAAAAAAATGTCAAGTGGTAGCATCTTTAATTTCCTTCTTCACAACCAGAATTTGTTTTGTTTAGAGGCAAGTCTAGTTATCTCTGCTTGGAGTCAATTCTTCTGGCTTTCTTCTTGATCATTTACAGAATGAAGATTTGCTCTAAGAAAAATAAGCATGTTTCTTGTTTGATGTTTTGCTTTTGTTTAGCATCTTAGTCTTTTTCTCATCTAAAGTTTTGCTGTATCCAAGTGTGGTTAGATTAATATAAGTGATTATTTTAAGATTATACTATAATATGGAAAGTATTATAAATTGCTTTGTTTTTGAAATTCAAAATTGTTATAGTAGACAGCAACCTGCTATTTCCAGGTGAGTTTTAATAGTAAAGCATCACATAAAAAGCACACTTTAGAATCAATAAAAGATATTTCTGTTTCTAATTTGACAAATGAAATTTTAGTTATGATGCTGAAATTCCATTATCACCATCATTTAAACATACTTAATGTGGACATGCTGGGCACATGCTGCTAGCATAAACACATTTGGCTCATATGTAAGATTTAATTTCATCTCTAGTTTGGAAACAGAATTCCAGGCACAAAGCCTCAAATTGCAGTGACAGGTTCTATGGAACACTCCTATGTATGGCTCCACAGAGTGATGAAAAGAGGTGGTCCTGTGATAGGTAGATAGATAGGCATGAGCAGGGCAGGAGAGGACTCTTCCCGCAACACACTAGAAATGTCAGGTGATGGTTTGGCAATTATCACATTGCCTCTCTAAAAGTGATAAATTGGCAGCCTGCACCAGGGAGAGGCCATTTCCTGATGGTCCACACCTGTTAACATTAAAGTGTTAATTAAAGGCAGACACCAGGGAGAGACAACTTCCTACACATGTACATTGTATTGTATATATAATGGAATATATATATAAAGGGTAGTTCATTAAGTGTTAACTCACATGATCACAAGGTCCCACAGTAGGCCGTCGGCAGGCTAAGGAGCAAGGAGAGCCAGTCCAAGTTCCAAAACTGAAGAAGTTGGAGTCCGATGTGCAAGGGCAGGAAGCATTAGCATGGAAGAAAGTTGTAGGTTGGGAAGCTAGGTCAGTCTCTGTTCACATTTTTCTGCTTGCTTATATTCTTGCTGCACTGATGTTAATCTCCTTTGGCAACACCTTCACAGACACACCCAGGATCAATACTTTGTGTCCTTCGTTCCAATCAAGTTGACACTAACTATTAACCATCACAAGTCTACCCCTTGTCAAACCTGAACCCGTACGAGATAATACATGATCTTCAAATAAAGACAATAAAAAGGTCATAATTACACTTTACATAATACAGCTATCCTTCATACAACTGGAAACACACCACTGGATCCAATCAGCATAATGTCATCAATGTAATGGACCAGTGTGATAACTTGCAGAAGTGAAAAGCGATCAAGGTCTCTCCAAATAAGATTATGAAACAAAGCTGGGGAGTTGATATTGCCCTGCAGTAGGACAGTAAAGGTATATTGCTGGCCTTGCCAGCTGAAGGCAAATTGCTTCTGGTGGGCCTTGTAGACATGAGTGGAGAAAAAGGCATTTGCCAAGTCAATGGCTGCATACCAGGTACCAGGAGATGTGTTAATTTGCTTAAATAATGAATCCACATCTGGTACAGCAGCTGCAATTAGAGTCACCACTTGGTTAAGCTTATGATAATCCACTATTATTCTCCAAGATCCATCTGTCTTCTGCACAGGCCAAATGGAAGAATTGAACAGCGATGTGGTGGGAATCACCTCCTCTGAGTCTTTCAAGTCTTTGATGATGGCACTAATCTCTGCAATCCCTCCAGGGATGTGATATTGTTTTTGATTTATCATTTTTCTAGGTGGAGGCAGCTCTAACGGCTTCCATTTGGCCTTTCCCAGCATAATAGCCCTCTCCCTACCAGTCAGAAAGCCAGTGTGGGGTTTCTGCCAGCTGCTTAGTGTGTCTATGCCAATTATGCATTCTGGTAGTGGGGAAATGACCATATGTTCCTTCCACCATTATCCCACACCCTTAATATCCATTCCCATGTCTGTTCTCCAGATTTCTGTTTATATAAATTAGAAAACTCAAGCAGTTCTTTTCAAGTGTAGTGCACATCCTCTTGGGTTACACTCTCAATCTCACCTCTAGGGGCCTGCCAGGACTTTAGTCTAGTTATAGGTCTAGAGGCAAACAGGGGTGTTGGGGGTGGCTCCTGAAAAAAATCAACATTATCTTGCCTGGCAACTGCCTCAGAGGAGGCCATCAATTTGCCTCAGGAAGCACAGGGTTTATCATCTCCTCAGACAACGGTGGAAAGGCTGATGGCAGCATGGGTTGGGGAGGGGATTTTGCCAGTACTAGGGATGCAGAAGCTGTTCCTTCTAGCAAAAAAGGTTCATCAGAGTTTACAAACTCAGTGTCCCCAGCTTCATCAGGGTCCTCCCACACATCCCCATTCCAAGTTACAGGGTCCCATTCTTTTTCAATCAATGTCCTCACTTTAACAGTACACACCTGGCAAGGCTGTGCATGTAACTTTTGTTGCAGCTCAGCTCTCACATAATAAGAGCTTGTGTCTGTTCTTCCACAATTTCAGCTGTCTACAGGAGATAAGACTCTCATTCAGGGCAATCTTAGCAGATTTGAGGCTCAGTATCTGCTTCTGAAGCTGGCAGATAGATAGAATCCTTGAGTTCATCATTTTCTTTTACCATGTTGTCCACTGAGCCTAGGAGCAACAAACTAACTTCATTATGTTCCATGGTTCTGCATATATGGTCGAAGGTATTGTGTATATTGTCACTAAACTCTTTGCCTCTCATGAGCGATGAAACAGGAGTGTCAAATGCATTTATTTTGCATAACTCTCTAAATAGTGCATGCCAAGGACTATCAGTGTTCTCCATACTATTAGAAGTAGAATCCTTAGCATATTGGGGTCTAATCATATTAAGCAGTCAACTCCATAAACCCCAAAGCCAACAAAATAACTCCATCCTTAATATTCTGTTCCTCTAGACCCATTCCTGGTGCCAAAATCTGTATTAGTCAGGGTTCTCTAGAGGGACAGAACTAATGGAATATATATACATAGAGAGAGAATATATATATATATAGAGAGAGAGAGAGAGAATATATATATTTTTATTATATATATGTATATATATACAATATATTTATGGGAGTTTATTAAGTATTAACTCACACAAGGTCCCACAATAGGATATCTTCAGGCTGAGGAGCAAAGAGAGCCAGTCTGAATTCCAAAACTGAAGAACTTAGTCCAATATTCGAGGGCAGGAAGCATCCAGCATGGAAGAAAGATGTAGGCTAGGAGGCTAAGCCAGTCTCTCTTTTCACACTTTTCTGCCTGCTTATATTCTAGCCGGGCTGGTAGCTGATTAGATTGTGCCCACCCAGATTAAGGGTGGGACTTTCTTTCCCAGCCCACTGACTCAAATGTTAATCTCTTTTGAAAACACCCTCACAGACACACCCAAGATCAACACTTTGCATCCTTCAATCCAATCAAGTTGACACTCAGTATTAACCATCACACATATTAAGCGACAAAAATGGCAAAGGATGATCTGGGGACGCTCCACTGGAAAAAGGAAGAAAGCCTTAGATGGTCATGTCTATAACTCTCTAAACACACTGCTGTGCTCAATTACCAAGGCCAAGGAGAGCACTGCACATATGGAAAGCCCACCCAAAGGGAAGAATCATGGGAAAGAGGTGAGACTATAAAGTCCTAGGATCAAGATTAAATGCCCCATCTTTTTCTCTCTTTGACCTTCAGACTCCCACTTGCATCTCTTCCAAGGGTCCTTTCCTTTCTTTACTGTTCTAAGTCTTTTTAAGAAACATCCACTCCTGCTCTGGAACTTGCCTTGATCTCTTTTTCTGCTTTATGTGCCTCAGTCTAATTCTTTCTTCTGAGGAGGCAAGGGCTGAAGTTGCTGCACGGTTACAACGCAGCCCGTAACTCAGGGTAACCAGGATCTCTTTCACATGTAACAGTTCTAGCAGCAAAATTCCGTTCCATTGTCTACATCTATGCTTAAGACAATACAAATATTTTTAAAATTGTCTTAAATATTAAGACCATTAAGGGTTTTCATAAATAAAAAATTTTACAGTGATTCTTTTAAAAGGACGGTTTGAATACTATTATTATTTACAATTTTGCAAGGAAAATAAAATCACCAAGGCTTAGTGAAGTGCATGCCCATGTAAGGACAGTAGAATATTGAGTTAGAATTCAGGTTCTATTGAAAATAGAAAGCAGGGCTGGGTGCGGTGGCTCATGCCTCTAATTCCAGCACTTTGGGAGGCTGAGATGGGTTGATCACTTGACCCAGTATTTGGAGAGCAGCCTGGGCAACATGGTATAACCCCATCTGTACCAAAAATACAAAAATTAGCCAGGCATGGTGGCACATGCCTGTTGTCTCAGCTACCCAGGGAACTTGAGTTCAGGAGGTCAAGGCTGCAGTGAGCCATGATTGCACCATTGCACTCAAGCCTGGGTGACAGAACAAGAACTTGTCTTCAAAAAACAAAACAAAACAAAACAAAACAAAACAAAAAAGCAGCACCAGAAGTTACCTATAATTATTAAGTAAACAAACAGTCTCTTACATATATATCAAAGTATAATTTCAGTCATATAACCTTTCAGGAAAGTACTAATAGTCCATTAAATTAAAATTAGTATATAGAATTTTCCACCTCTAGTCTAGTACCTAGTCTGGCCAATTTCATTTCAAGAAGGCCTAGAATGTACTTTTCTGCCCATAAGCTTAAATACATTTTATTTATTAGTAACCATTTTAACTATTATCTACATGTCTCTGAAATAAATGTCACTTAGAATAATAAATATTATACACACATATATACACAAATTAATTCTGGTTTCTAAAGAAATATCTTAATATTTGGTCCAAAAATTTTAATCTCATCCATGATAATATTGATGCTGCTCTTCTCTCAGCAATATAATATATTTTATGTTACATAAAACTTACTGGCAAATAAATTTTTAAAAATTGAGAATGGGATGGAAACAACTATAAGTAAGTATATATTGTGTTTGTTTTTGTTGCATTTGGTTTCTTAAAACAAATTCTCCATTGATATCCTCAGAACCCTCTTTTTTTTTTCTTACAGAGATTGTCAGAAATTGTAAAGGGGCTTGATTTTAATCTACCTGTAACCTAACAAGTTAAGTTACCAATGTTTCATGGAAGAAACTGGCAGAAAAAAATAAGAGCGCAGGGTCAGAAACAAAGGACTTTATTTTTCATGGCACAGTAAGCAGCATGAGCCTCAATGTATTTCCAACATTTTCACTCAAGTTCTCAGGAACAGCAAATAGGTCCAGATAGATGCCTGGGCTCTCAGTGAGTTGCATTACAGGAAAAGAATCCAGAGTTTAGGAGACCCCAAATTTTGAAACTGGGCAGTAACATGCCTCTTTCTGTGCTCCAGAAAAGACATTGTTTTTGTTATACTGGACAATAAGCATTCATAATATTTGCTTTGGCATGAGACATATCTTTGTCTCTCAAACCGTGAGCACACCTGTCTTTCCCTCTAAAAGGAGATATAATTTTTTCTTCCAAGACTGTTCACCATACAAAAATCCTTGAAAAAATAGCCCAGAACAAACAGAATAATAATGCCTTGCTCACAATGCATGCAGAAATGTGAGAGATCTATGTTACCAAACATTTATCTACTTTATATTTGCTGACAAATGTTCAACAATATCTATTTGAAAAATTCTGTCAGTTGTACTTCAGAGACCAAGAATCATAGAGATTAAAAATAATTGAAATAATTAATTGAGATCTATATAGCAAAATCAAGCTTTAGTTTAAATTCTGATGGTATTGAGCCAAAACTTTAGCAGATTTACAATATCATTTATTTAGTTAGAAATGTAAGGTTCCCTGATTTTCTAGTAAAGTTCTTATGATCATAAAGGGGCTTGTGAGAAAACCAAGATATGCTGGTCTTGCATTCTTATAGTGACAATAATGTACAATAGAAAATAAGACTCCAATGCTCATTTATCATTTATGATGACAGATTGAGAGCAGCTGCAAGCACAAAGCTGACAATTCTGCCTAGGATGATATACAACACAAACCAGAATGATCCTAAGATGCATTAACTTTATAATAATATACAGTGACCATTACAGATCTCATATGCAAGATGTTTGTGATAATATATGAGGAAAAGGGGTGATTCAAAAAAAATAGTATATTGTATGTTGACTTAAGACCACAGGATATTACACTTATAGCATAGGAGACTGCCGATTGTGAATTTCTTGGAGAAACATAAATCTTTAATTTCTTATAAATATATGCAAATGGGGCCAGGCACAGTGACTCATGGCTGTACTCCCAGCACTCTGGGAGGCCAGGGAGGGTGGATTACTTGAGACCAGAAGTTCAAGACCAATTCAGGTAATATGGAAAAACCCTGTCTCTGAAAAAAAAAAAAATTAGTCTGGCAGTGGCACGTACCTATAGTCCCAGCTACTGGGAAGGCTAGGTGGAGGATCACCTAAGCCCAGGTGGTTGAGGCTGCAGGGAGTGTGATAATGGCACTGCACTGCAGCCTGGTTGACAGAGTGAGATTCTGTCTCAAACAGAAATAAATAAATAAAACTAAATAAATAAATATATGCAAACACCTCCATTACTTGGCAAACATTGTGTAATAATGACAGCCCAAGATCAAAACAAGGATATAATATAAATAAAAAGAAAGAATGTCTTAAATGCAACCAATACTTTTTCCTATTCATTAACTCACAGATGCTTGGACCTTATATACACAGTACACAGATCATAAGAAACTCTGGCTAACAAAGCTACTTGTAAACCCAAAAACAGTAGATGTAACAGGAATCTATTCTGCTTCTAGAGTGAGATGATTTCAAATTGTGCCTCTCATCTGATGTAATTTCATTTGTTCTTAAACATATTTTTAATGAAAATCATAGAATAATTTATTTTTAAATCTTAAAGATAATCTAGCTTATTATCTTTAATAAATTAGACTCAGAGAACAGATATGTGGTTAAGAAAAACATTAATTGAGTACTACTACAAAGACTATGTTAGGAACTTTATACACATTATCATATTTAGTTATTCCAAGATGCTTGAGAAAAAAAGCAATCTTATCGCATTTTCTCAGAAGGAAACTAAAGACATGATGTTTCAATCCACGTTCACGTTGAAATGAAGATTTTAACAGTATTAACATTATAGTAATGTACTCACTTGTTACCATAAATATTTCTTAAACCAAGATCTTACTGAGACAAGAGAGTTCCCTTGACCCCTTCATGGGACTTGCGAAGGGGTGGCTGTCTTACTCAGCCTGCAACTTTCAAACCCCTTGTGGGAATGGGAGCATTCAGGTGAGTGGGTTCAGAGGCTGGGATAAGTGCTTCTGGGCAGCAGCGGGAGTAGAACTCTGTGTGGTTTCATGGCAACATCTAGGGGTTGCCCAGAATCCCCAGAATCCTGGAGGAGCCATCTTTTAGCTTTGCTGTCTGTGGACAGCTTAAGTGTTAAACAGCTCGTGGAGTGTCAGTGTGACAGCCTCTTGTACCCGCACCCAGGTCCTCGTCTGGCATCTAGGAAGAATGAGGCCATGCAAACAAATTGGAGGGTAGTGAATGCAGAGGATTTTTTTGAGTAGTGGAAGTGACTCTCAGCAGGATGGAGAGATGAAAAGGAAATGGAGTGGGAAGGTGTTCTTCTCCAGGAGTTCAGCTGTCCCCAGCCAAACTCCTCTTAGACCATTCCTGTATGAACCACTCTCTTACTGTAGTCTCCTATATCCAGCTGCTGCTTCTCCTCTCAATGTTCAGGTGCTTCTTCTCTTCCCTCCTTCTTTGCCATGCCACTCCAATGCTCCACCACTCTGCCCATGGAAACTGGGTTTTTTATGGGTACAGGATGAGGGGTGGGATGGTCTATGGTGATTTTGGAAAAAGTAATATTCAGGCAGAAAAACAGGAATGTATGCTCTCACTTAGGGTCAGGGGTCCAGGCTTGAGGGTGGAGCCATTGCCAGGTACCTTGTCCTTTTCTACCTACTATTTCCCTACCTCCTCTCTGTATCATTTCCCCATCTGAAAAGGCACATCTAACTGCCATTAGAATATGGACAACAACCAATCTTAGCTACTTTCTGCTAACTGGGGGCACTGTTTTTGAGAAAATGGCAATCAGATTCCTTGCACAGGTCTACCTAAGGGTCCCCAGCAAAAGGGAGCCATCATCTGAGGCTCCAGTTGCCTGACCATTTGGCATTTGATGGTCTCTATATGAGAGAGCAAAAATAAATAAATAAATAAATAAATAAAAGTTTTACAAGGTTAAGTGTGCGTGAGTTAAACATGTGTATTATACAAGGACAGAATCTAGTGCCAAATTGTAGAAATAAGAAAGAAAATATAGCAATTATTCTGAAAACAGTATTGTGCCTCGTGGTATAGAACAGAATGAAGATAAGAACAGAAAGCATAGGCAAGACTATAAAAAGGATATCCATGGAAGGTTAATTATTAACACTTATCTTTTGTAATCTTTAGCTTGAGGTCCCCGTGATGGTTAATACTGAGTGTCAACTTGATTGGATTAAAGGATGCAAGTGTTGATCCTGGGTGTGTCTGTGAGGGTGTTACCAAAGGAGATTAACATTTGAGTCAGTGGGCTGGGGAAGGCCAATTGGGTGGGCACAATCTAGTCAGCCACCAGTGAATATAAAGCAGGCTGAAAAATGTGAAGAGATGAGACGGGCCTAGGGCCTAACCTTGCAGCCCACATATTTCTCCTGTGCTGAATGCTTCCTGCCCTCAAATATCACACTCAGTTTTGGGACTCAGACTGGCTTTTATTGCTCCTCAGCTTGCAGACAGCCTATTGTGGGATCTTGCGATCATGTAAGTTAATACTTAATAAACTCCCATACACACACACACACACACACACACACACACACACACACACATATCCTATTAGTTCTGTCCCTCTAAGAGAACCCTGATTACATACAGTCCCTCTGCCACCATGCCTGGCTGATTTTTGTATTTTTAGTAGAGACACAGTTTCACCATGTTGGCCAGGCTGGTCTTGAACTCCTGACCTTGTGATCCACCCGCCTCAGCCTCCCAAAGTGCTGAGATTACAGGCGTGAGCCACCGCACCCGGCCAAGGAGATTATTTTTAAGGCAAGTCTTCCAAGCATTAATGACCTGTTAAACAGTTTGTGTCAGGTTTTTAGCTGAGAACAGTCTCTGGGGCAGTTGACAGGTTTTATCCCTACCTAGGTGAAAGGCCTAATGAAGCCTTTTAAGAACTTTCCATTGGCCAGTAGCCAGCAGATGAAGCTTGCCATCCTGATTGTAGTCGTCCTGAGGACTGAAAGATGTATCCCCAAGAGGTAGCCCATTCTATTTCCACAGGGGAATATTGAGGTTTTATTTATCTGATGGGACCCTCCAAGATCAGTGGGGCTTCAAGTGGGTCAGAAATTTGGGCCTCTCTCACTGCTGATTTAGCTACTTGGTCTGCCTGCCTATTTTCCTCAGCTATTTCATCCATCTCTTTTTGGTGGCCTTTACAATGTATTACTGCCACTTCCTGTGGGAGGAAAACTGAGGATAATAGTTTATTAATTTCCTGATGGTATTTAATGGGAGACCCATTAGCCATGAGGAAGTTTGTCTCTTTCCAGATAGTGGCATGGGCATAGAGGACTAGCAAAGCATACTTAGAATCAGTATAAATGCTGTTTTTCCTTTGCTTAATTTGAGCACCCTCGTGAGGGTAGTTAGTTCAGCTACTTTAGCACTTGTGCCCAGGGAGAGATGTGCTGTGTTAGTCCATTTTTCATGCTGCTGATAAAGACATACCCGAGACTGGGAAGAAAAAGATGTTTAATTGGACTTACAGTTCCACATGGCTGGGGAGGCCTCAGAATCATGGCAGGAGGTGAAAGGCACTAATTACATGGTGGCAGCAAGAAAAATGAGGAAAATGAGGAAAAATGAGGAAGAAAAGCAGAAACTCCTGATAAGCCCATCAGATCTTGTGAGACTTATTCACTATCATGAGAATAGCATGGGAAAGACAAGCCCCCATGATTCAGTTACCTCTCCCTGGATCCCTCCCACAACACATGGGAATTCTGGGAGATACAATTCAAGTTGAGAGTTTGGTGAGGACACAGCCAAACCATATCATATGCTTTCAACAATATCATTCAGGGCAACTATTGCATATCTCACTTTATGGGTCCCTAGTTTAATAAAAGAACTTCCATCCATAAAGACAATCCAGTCTGGGTTCTCTAAGGGGGTTTCTTTGAGGTCCTCCCTAGCCTCATAGGTTTTTACTACTATTTATTCACAGTCATGTTCAAGATCCCTGGCTTCCCCTGGGAGGAAGGTGGCTGGATTTAAGGAGACACAGATTGTTAACTGGACTGCAGGTCTCTCTAATAGCAGAGCTTGATACCTGATATCTGTTAACCAGAGAATCCCTGTAGAAGACAGTAGTTCTGCCACATTATACAGGGGTATAAATGGTTAAGTTACTCACCATGGTTAACTTAGTAGCCTCTGGTACAGCAAGGCTACTGCTGCAACTGCCCGGACACAGGCAGGCTACCCTTTGCCTACCAAATCAAGCTCCTTACTTAGGTAGCCTACAGGCTTCTGAGAAGGACTCTGGGCCTGTGTTAAAAATCCCAGTGCCCTTCTCTTTATTTCTGACATGTAAAGGTTAAACATTTTCTCTATGGGGAGACTAAAGGCCTGTGTTAGAACTTCCAGTGCTACTCCCTTTCTTTCTGACACATAAAGATTAAACGTTTTCTCTAAGGGGAGACTAAAGGCTGGTGCTTTAAGCAAGGCTTGTTTTAGTTGGCCAAAGACTTTTCTAGCCTCTGGTTTCCAAATTAGAGAGTAAATTTTAGCTGTCCTAGTCTCCTTTATTGGGTTATATAAGGGATGAGCTATTTCACCATACTAAGGAATCCATAGTATGCAGAATGCTATAATGCCTAAGAATCCCCTCAGTTGCCTTGAGGGTTTTGGGGAGGGAAAAGGAAGAGATGGGCTTAATCTTTTCTTTGCCCATCACCCTGGTCCCCTCTGACAAGACCAGGCCCAGGTACTTCACTGAAGTCTGATGAAGCTTAGCTTTATATTTTGAAACCTTATATCCTCTGTTAGCCAGAAAATTAAGAACCTTCTGCCCTCTTGAGAGATTTCCTTAGTTGGGGCACACAGGAAAATGTCATCTACATACTATAATACAATAACACAAGGATAAAGGAACCTGGAGAGGTCTCTTGACAATGCCTGCCTAAAGAAGTGGGGTCTGTTTTGGAATCCCTGAGTTAACACTGTCCAGTTTAACTGGGTGGTTTTGTTAGAGGGACCCTCAAATGCAAACAAATACTGGGAGTTATGGTGTAATGATATGGATAAGGAGGCATCTTTTAAGTCCAGGACTGTGAACCATTTGGTTACCTCTGGTATTTGAGCTAGCAGAGTATACGGATTTAGAAACACCAGGTGTATTGGAACCACAGCCTCATTAACAAGGTGGAGGTCCTGAACTAGGCTCCATTTCCTTTTGGGTTTTTGTACCCCCCAATATTGGGGTATTACAAGGACTGTTGCAGGGTTTAAGGAGGCCCTGCATCTTCAAGTTATCAATCAATGATGGCTTCTAGTCCTTTCTTAACCTCTGATTTCAGGGGATATTGTTTCTGGTTAGAAAAGGATATGGGATCCTTAAGGTGGATCCAGATCATTGTGGTGGTTGTGGCTTAGTCAATCTTCTCTTCCCTTGAATTGCCCATACTTCCGGGTTAATATAGGTCTCCACTAGGGGAAGACAAAGAGTTTGCCCTTGGACTATCAGGATGGTGGTCCCCATATGGGCCAGAATATCCCTGCTCAACAGAGGAGTTGGGCTTTCAGGAATAATTAGAAATGAATGGATGAACAAAAGGTCTCCCCACCTACAACTAATGCGTTGGGGAAAATATCAGGTTAAAAGCCTTCCTGAGATTCCCCTCACAGTTGTGCTAAGGGAGGAGAGGGGGCCTGGATGGAGAGGACAACCAAGAGACAAGCCCCAGTGTCCAAAAGAAGGTTCACTTTCCTCTCTTTGATTTCCAGAATTACTCAGGCCTTCTGGATGGTAGTGGTGGTCTGGACCACCAGAGCTGGGGAGAGGAGCCCCAGGATCCAACAGTTCTGCTGCTGGACCATTTGGGAGATTTGTTCTGGAGCCAGTTACCAGCATTCTGAGGGACAGTCTATCCTCCAGTGATCCCCACTGTGGATTAAACAGGGTCAAGGTTGCTTCCTCCTGCTGCCTGGGAAATACTTAAAATGCCCTGGCTACCCTCATCTGTAGCAATTAGCAGGTGCACCTTGGGAATTCTGGGGTTTGTGGGCTTGCCTAGTGGCCATCAAAGCCTCTGTCTCTTTCCTGTGCATCCTCTCTCTCTCCTGGGCCTCCCTATCTCTATTATAAAAGATCTAGGTGGCCACTTTCAGAAGGTTCTCTAAAGTAATATCTGGTCCCAGGGCCTGTTTCTGCAGCTCCCTCCTGATATCAGGGCTGCCTAAGTAATAAATTTATCCTTTAGGGTCAGTTGTCCCTTGACTGAATCGGGAAATAGAGAGGCATGCTTTACCAAGGCCTGGAAGATAGTGGGATTCTCATCTAATCCCTGGTCTATAATGGATAGCTTGGTATATTTGAGAGGCTTGGTCATAGTCCTGCATAGGCCTTCTATTATGCACTCCTGAAAGTGTCTCCCTTTCCATTCTCTCATCTTGTCACTGGGATCCCATCCAGGGTTATGCATTGGCACTGATTCTGCTCCAGGTGGATACAGTTCAGTCCTTTCCTTGATGCTATATGTGATGCAAAGCTCACCCCCAAATCTCTGTGCTTTCAGAGCAGCCTGCTTCTCAGAGTTCCCCAGGGTCTGATTCAAAAGTAACATAATGTTTTTCCCAGATAGTTCAAATACTTGGGTTAAATTCTGGAAAGCCTCTATCTATCTGACAGGGTCATCTGAAAACTTGCCAAGATCTCCCTTAATTTCACTTAAGTTCTGTAGAGAGAAGTGAACCTGGACCTTACTGGGGCCAAATTCACCAGGCATCTTTTGGAGGGCAAGAGTGAGACTGGGGCTTGTCTAGAATGAGGATTTCTAGGAGAGGGCAAGCATGAGAATGAAGCTGGATAGGAAGGATGGAGTGGACACAGAGGAACAGGGCTGGAGGGAGCTGGCTCTCCTGCTGGGTGTGCCTCTGGGATTAGTTTCTTTAGTTTCCTGGGATTTTCCCTTGCAACCTCTCCTGAAATGGCAAACAGGAGGGCTGGATCAATCCTACACTATTGGCAAAGGTCTGGATTATCCTTCAAGGTAAAGAAAGTCAGCACATATGGGGCCTCAGACCACTTGTCCTCATGTTTACAGAAAAGGTCCAACTGCAGGATGGTATTGAAATGAAAGGTTCTTTCCTGAGGCCGAGACAGTCCTTCCTGTAAATCATAATTTGGTCAAGCCTTGGTGCAGAGGTCTATGAGGTGTTTTTCCTCCAGAGTGTGAAGGTCAAAGCAGTCCCAGTGATTCACAATACACTCCAGAGGATCATAAGCTGCGGGTGGTGAAGATAGCTGGTTGGCCATTCTGAAAGGGAAATAGGCGTCCCTCATTCCCCTTCCTTCTTTCAGTGATAACTCATGGTATGATGAAGATATAGTTGGCATTCCCCTTTCTTTTTTATCTTTTTATCCCTAAGTGCTGTTGACCTTGGCAGGTGCCATCTATGAGTGCCAATGCGGCTTGCACCCATGAAGCAGGGAGGGCCTAGAGAGTAGGAATTATCCACACTAACCTATGCCTCCATACACCCTACTGTTGACAACTTTTCAGTTCCCTGGGCCTCATCTATGCCACGGAGCATGGCATCCTTCCATGAAACGGAGATTTAATTGGCAGGAATTGGTCCTGTACATTTACACTATGCCTATTGATTGTCTGGTTTTGGATCCCTTATATCTGTTTTTTGTTTGTTTGTTTTTGTTGTTGTTGTTTTATGGTTTTTTTTTTCCCTAGAGCTTCAACTCAAAGTTTAGAATTGAGTTTGGGACAACATGTTGTCCCAGGGGTGCACAGATTCATTTAGATTAAGTCCCAGATGGGCCTTGCCAAGGGAAGAATCTATTGCTCTGTTGCTCTGTGGAAATAGGTTTCTTTAATCACTGTATCCCTCCCCAACTTCAAACCCAGGGGAGTAAAAGCTCTGTGAGCATGTGGTGGGAGGGAGCAGTGAGCAGGAGACACTGGTCAACTGGCTGCATCCGGGGCCCTGGCCTCCGTGATTGCCCTGGGGCTCAGGCAGTGTGTGCAGCTTACTCCTGCCCCACTTGGCCATTGGGTGCAGTGCATATGTGTGGCGAACATACCCAAAGGCCCTAGAAAGAGGGGGAGGGGGCAGAGAGGGGAACCGCTCTGTGCCTGCCCATCTCATGCACATGCCTGCAGTCACTGGGGTGAGGTTCAGGGACACACTTCTAGGAACAAATGGAAATCACATTGTTCTGAATTGCACCACTGATGGCTGGGCCAGACGTACATTCTGCCTAGTATCATTGCCTCAGTCTGCAGCAAAAACTTTATCATTATACAAGAAGAGATGGGAGCCATTTTGAACCATGAAAAAAGAAAGATACCATAGGAAAATCTAGGGTTTTGCCCAACGCCTTGACAGGCAGTCAGGGACCAACCAGGTTCAGCCTTGGGGCCTTCTGGCAACACCAAGGAGTGGTGTGGACCAGATGCCATCAGTTGTCCCAGGACTTTTTCCTGGTCCCACATGATGGATAATCCTCTGTGAAGGGAAACAGAGTCAACTTTCCTTTCAGCCAAAAGAAAGAGGGATATGGTAGGGTGTTGGAAAAGAGAAGATCTGACAGTTCCACATTTTAACTCACCCTTCTGATGTAACCTGGAGGAGCCCCCAGATGAGATGAGAGTGTTCCCTTAACGCTTTCATGGGACATGTGAAGGGGTGGCTCACTTACTCAGACTGCAACTCTCAAACCCCTTGCAGGAGGGAGAGCATGCAGGTGAGTGGGTGCAGAGGCTGGGATGACTGCTTCTGGGCACCGGCAGGAGTAGAACTACACAAGGCCCCATGGCAGCCTCTAGGGGTTGCACATGACCCCCAGAGCTCCAGAGGCCGTATGTTACAGTGGGATCATTTAGCTTTACTGTCCTGGATTGCTTAAGTGTTAAACAGCTCAGTGGAGGTCAGGTTCCAGGAGGAATGAGGCCATGCCCACAAATTGGAGGTTGGTGAATGCGGAGGATTTTATTAAGCAGTGAAAATGGCTCTCAGAGAGATGGGGAGCTGGAAAGGGGATGGAGTGGAAAGGTGGTCTTCCCCTGGAGTTTGGCCATCTCCGGCTGAACTCCTCTCTGACTGTAGTCTCCCATGTCCAGCTGCTTCTCCTCTCAACATTCATACACTTCTTCACTTCTCACCTTCTCTGTTGCACTGCTCTGCTGCTCTGACGCTCTGCCTGGGGAAACTGGGGATTTTAATGGGTACGGGAGTGGGGACAAGGTGGGCCAGGGTGGTTTTGGAAAGGGCAACATTCAGGCAGGAAAATAGGAATGTATGTTCTCACTTCCAGCCGTGGGTCCAGGCTTGAGGGTGGAGCCCTCTCCAGAGACCCTGACCTTTTCTAACTAGTATTTCTTTGCCTCCTGTCTATATCATTCTTGTGATGCAAACTAACTTTTACAAATTTACAAAATAGACGATTAGTTCAAACATAGCAGACATATTCTGTCTCTTATATGTTGTTTGAATTAATCACCCCATATGAATCTATAATGGTACCACTCTAGCTACCACTCTTTTTCTCTTCTTACATTCAAAGTCAGAATTCCTAAAAGAGTAATCCCTAATCACTGCATCCACTTCTTTATATATTTTTCATTGATTCTCTAACCTATTATAGCCTGATTTCAGCTTCTTTCTCCAAAAGCAGTAAATGTCTATTAATTACATTGATGATCATTTATTTAACACTCCTGATCACATAACCCTAAAAATCTATAAATTACCGCCCTCTGTAATGGATATTGTGCTGTATGCCTCCAAATTTATTTCACCCACATCTCCATTAAATAGAACTTGTTTGGTTGGAGAAATGATTCATGCTCCAGATATAGTCCCTATTAAATCTGAGACAACCAAGGAATCACCCCCAGTAATACTGTGGCATAATAAGAACATATATTTGTTCTAAGCTCATTTCTGGCACACAGCTCTTAAAACCTTTGGAATCTCCAATATGATGTGTATTTTTGCATACTAATAAGATAACTGATGGCTGGGAGCCCCTGGATATCCTCAGGATAGAGCTTAGCTGCCAAGGGAACCAAGCTTATGATTAGAGGATTGGACTTTCAGCTCTGGCCCCTTACCTTTGGGGAGAATAGGCTGAAGGTTGAGTTGATCACAAATGGCCAATAATTTAATCAATCATGCCTACATAATGAAGCTTCCACAACAAACCAAAAGAACAAGGTTTGGACAGCTTTTGGGTTAGCGAAGACATTGACAGGGCACATGTGAAGAAGGTGTGGAAGCTCCAAAGTCCTTCCTCATATCTAGCCCTATGTATCTTTTCATCTGGCTGTTCTGTTGTATCATTTAAAATATCCTTTGCAATAAGTTGGCATTACTAAGTAAAGTGTTCTCTTGAGTTCTGTGAACTGAACTGCTCTAACAAATTATTGAACCTTGGGAATGGGGTCATGGGAACCTCAGGTTTGTAGCTAAGTAAGACAAAAGTTGTGGGTAGCCCTGAAACCTACTACTTGTGATTGACATTCAAAGTGGGATTCAGTCTTGTGAGAGAAATACACAGATATCAGATAGAACTGTGCTTATATATTGCGTGTTGTGCACATTTATACAGATACATAAAAAACAGATAAAACTGATCACAACAGTTTTACCTATAGATGAGACTGAGAATTGAGAGAACTTTGATGTTATATATCGTTGTGCTGTTTAAATTTTTATTACAAACATATATTGATTTTATAATTTATAAAAGATAAAGCTTTAGGCAAAAAAAAAAAAGATATCAGATCCACCCATTCTAAAACGGAAAGACTCAATACTCAGTGATAACTTTTGCCATAACTTTATCTAGACCTCATCAATGCTAGCTCAAAGATACATTAATCAATATTGATCTCATTATTTTGCATTCTGAGCTATCATTATGGACTTGGTATTTTGTAGTTTAAAATAAGACTTTAGTTCTGAAATTTTGCCTATGTCTTAATTTCAATTAAAGTTAATTAATGAATAAAAATATATACATTTCATAGGCTAAAAAACACTCAGAAAAGAATTATGGTGTTGTACAGTAATTCAGAAAATATATATAATTTTATATTTACCTGAATAAGTATTGTGAAAATTAAACTGTCAATATTACACATTGTCCAATAAATGGAGTGGCATAATGTTCCAATTCTACCTGTTATTTTTATTTTTAAATTAAATGATGTAAATTAAATTTTCAGATACAGTTTTCTTTAAATTCTCAATTTATTTATGTAAAACTATCTTGGATGAAAGAGTCCCTGTGGAAACTTACATAAATGATCGTATCTTTAGGTTGAAAGCAATATAAGGGATGATATAGTTTAGGTATTAATCCCCTCGAAATCTGATGTTGAATCATATCTCCAGTGCCTGACGTGGGGCCAACCTACTGGAAGGTGCTGGGTAATGGGGGAAGATTCCTCATGAATGGCTTGGTACTGCCCCACAGCTCTCTTAGTTCATGATAGAACTGATATTGTTAAAAATGGCCTGGCTTCTTCTTCCCTCTCTCTTGCTCTCTTTCTCTCTCACTGGCTCTCCACAGCTTTTTGCTGTGAGTAAAAGCTTTTTGAAGCCCTCACCAGAAGCAGATGCTAGAGTCATACTTCTTGTACAGCCTGCAGAACTATAAGCCAAATAAACCTCTTTTCTTTATAAATTACCTTGTCTCAGGAATTCCTTTATCGAAATACAGAACAGACTAATACAAGGGGTAAATTACAACTTTTCAATTTTATGAAATTTTGAGATTATAATTCAAATCATATTAATATTGCAGGTAAAGTTACTACATAGCCCATAGATGATCAGCAGTAATTTAATACAAAAATATAAAATTGTATTTAGTGACAATGGCCTATATTTCAGCATGAGAATAATTAAAGGAATTGAATAATGAACTTGGGATTTGGGAATACATGGACCAGGGCTGAAGTTCTAAGCTTTATCAGCTAGAAATTTCTGAGCCCATTTTTCCTCATGAGAAAGTACTTTATAGCTTGATATGTCATTGAAGGTGTTTAGTTATGTAATAGATGCTCAGTGCACAATACATGTAGTACTTATTCAGTAATTAAAGTCATGGTAGTAACAGTTTTAAAAATAATAAACATATGAAAAATGAAAATTTGGCTTACAGCTTCATGAAAAATGAGTTCTGCTTCATTCCTCCTTTTTAGCAAGATGCTTTCATCTCTTTGATAAATTTCTGGTGTTTTTACTAAGGGTATACCATTATACTTAATTGGTTTTACAAGTACTAAATAATGCCTATTAAGACATCATTTTGTTGATGGGGTAAGTTGAAATTTTAATGTGGCCTTAATCACCTTCTTCTTAGAAAGTCTTCCCAAATCCTTTAGCCTTGTTGCGGTGACACTAGATAATTAGTAGGAAAGAAGATGGGGAGGTGTATATCGATATCAATTAACCCTGGCTTTTGGTGAATTTAGTAGTTCCATAGAAAATCTAGAAAACAAGAATAACCAATTTAAAGAGCAAAATCTTTCCAAATTCCAGGGTATTTTAAATTGAATTATTAATTCATCTTATAAATAGTTACTGAGACTTATGTTTTCTTCTTAGAATTTCTGTTTAATGGGAAAGTAAAGTGTTACCTAAATAAATATAACTACAAATTTTTATAAATGCTAGAAAACAAATCTTGAAGTTCTCTGTGAGAGTTAAATGGGTGAATTCATACTTAGAGACAGAGTTCAGAAAAAGGCTTTCCAGAGTAACTTCTATTTAAGCTGAGATCTGAAGGGAGATTAGCCAGTAGAAGGGTATGGAGAGCATTCCAGATAAAGAAAATAAGCATGCAAAGTCCCTGCTGTGGGAAAGATTTTGGCTCTGGATAAATTTTGGGAAGACTAGCAAGTTAGGAGCGTGGCAAGAAAAGAGGCTGAAGATAGTGGCACAGTAAAGGACATGCAAGGATGGTAAATAGGGCATTCAGTAAAATGGAAAGCCGTTGGAGAATTTTAAGTAGAAGGAGTAATAGTATCTAATGATTTAAATTTGAAATAAATACTCTAGCTGCTCTGTGGAAAAATGGTAATAAAATGGCAAGAGTAGAGGCAGGAAACCGTTTTGGAGGCTGTAGCCATAATCTAAGCAAAAGATGACTGAGTTTTTTTTCTTTTCAAGAGTTAATACGTCTTTACATGAATGAATGCTCTTTTTTGGCCCACAGCACCAGAGTAAATGCAAAACTAATTAGACCTTGGACGGGCTTCTGAAAACCTCCTCCTCCTCCTCCGGCTTCTCTAGCTGTGTCTTGAGCAGTGAAGAATTTAAGGATGTTCTTCTGTATCCCTATCTTTAGTTCAAAGAACTTTCTTTTTTTTTTTCTTTTTTTTTTTGAGACGGAGTTTCAGTCTTGTTGCCCAGGCTAGAATGCAATGGTGCAATCTCAGCTCCCTGCAACCTCTGCTTCCTGGGTTCAAGAGATTCTCCTGCCTCAGCCTCCTGAGTAGCTGGAATTACAGGCGTCCACCACCACGCCTGGCTAATTTTTTGTATTTTTAGTAGAGATGGGGTTTCACCATGTTGACCAGGCTGGTCTTGAACTCCTGACCTCAGGCGATCCACCCACCTAGGCCTCCCAGAGTGCTAGGATTACAGGCGTGAGCTACCAAGCCCTGCCAGAACTTTGCTTTTTAGAGTGGGAATAAGGCAAAAAGGAAAACAAAACAAAACAAACAAACAAACAAAAAACCTGCATCTTGAGCCACATTCACAGATAGAGACATATATCTCTGTGAATGTGTTCTAATGAAAAGTCATTGCTTTTTTATATTGTGATCTCAAGTCGCTCATTTCAGTTATACTTAAAATGCAAGACGTCTCATCCTGTTGTCTTTTACCTCTATTGATATATATTTTTAGAAGACCTAGGCTCTAGTTTTGGTTCTTTCCCTGAATCATTATTCTAAATCATATCACAAAATCTTTTGGGGTTTTCACTTTAGTTAGTAATGTGAAATATAGATTTTAGTATTGTTTATTATTTGTGTGACACTGGAATTGCCATTTAAGTCCTCTAAGGCATCCCCTCCCTCATTTGTGATAGGAAGATAATATCTACCTTTGAAGATTCTTCTGAGGAACATCACACACATACACACACACACACACACACACACACGATCAACTCATAACACATCAGATCCTCAAAATTTAGTATCTGCTAATATCGTTTTAAATAAAAACAGTATATTTTCTCCTGCCTTGGAAGAATGTTTATGAAATCACTTTGAGATACCGATATTTTAGATTAACATTTCATTCATTCATTTGTTCATTCAATCATCTTACATTTAATTAGTCATCAGTTAGTCAGGATGCAATACATATGAAGCATGCATTGTGACAGATGCATTGTGTTAGGATCTGTGGGAAAAAAAAAATGGAAGTCAATCAGCTCCAGAGCCTCAATCTAGCAAAGTTTGCAAAATGAAGATATTAGAAATGAAGATGAAGAATTGGGCATTTCCTCTCAGGAGCAATCAGTGGTAGCCACTTAGAAGAAATGGGTACTAGAGATAGACGGTAGAATACAGATATTCCAGCCAAAGGAAAAGGTCCAAAGAAAAGTGAAAGGGCTATTTGTTACCAGTAGGTTATGTTTTGGAAGGCAGAAAAGAGGCAAATAGCAGCGTATTTTATATCTTACATAAAAGAAAAGTTATGATCAGAAACAAATCCTTACAATCATGTTTCCATATAATTATCTATTAAGCATTAAATGAATTAAAAGCCTTCTCATTTTTTGTTGATGTTTCTTAAAATTAACTGCATTAGATGACTGGTAAAGTTGTCACTACTCAGGATCATACCCTACAAATAAGTTAGAATGTCTCAGTACAATCTGTCTGTTCTATTTTGGTGTTATGGAGAAATCATTCATTATATCCTCAAGTCTATCCTCTTGAAAGACACACTTGGCCCAGTATAATGGCTCCTTAACACACTCCAGATTAACCCTGAAGAAATGCATTGGGTTTCCCCAAGACTCCTCTGTCTCATTGCTTACCCTAAATGAAGTATGAGGAATGTAAAGCAGCACGATGCCTCTTGATTCTCCCTTTGCTAATATGGCATATAAGATCTCATAGCTCTGTGCCACAGTGTTAGAGGAAGAGCTTTGATATTCTAGGGTTCTCAAGACTATGCCAGCTCTTTGTGTTTTGTTGAATTGTTACTCAACTTCAAAAAGATAGTTTATGATATGATTATGAGTTAAATTATCATCACCATTGCCACCCTGTTTATCCTTTCATAGATATAAAAAAAAACATAAGTCATCCTTTCTATGAGAAGTCAAAGGAGCACAGGGAAAATGCAGCTCACTGGAGCCATTTGAACAATGACTGTAAAAATAACATCTGCTCCTTGTTTTCATGCTAAATATATTTTTTAATTCACTGCAGGGGACACCATTGGCAACTGTCAGTGTAATTTATCTAAGTCTTTAATACAGCACATTTTATGCAGGAACAGAAATATATTTGCTTTCTAAAGAGCATCAAGAGTAAATGTTAAGGGATTCTTTTTAATATTGTAGGATTATGAGCAGGTATTGAAGCAATCCATTGTGAATGTGTAACTATCCATCATTGCCATCATTAAATGAAATTGCCTCTGCCATATAAAAAGGGGCTTATATGTATGTGAGGGATGTCTGTGGGTACGGATGTATATATGTACATATGGACATTAGTTGGTTGTAATACATAAGAAACATTAAAGACACTGCCTGATATAAAAGGAACCATTTAAAAATCTAAAATTCAACAAATACATGGGATATAAAGTTTGGATGTGAAAAAATGATTCATTTTATATCGAACTCATGCAAAATAAGTCTACTCACATTTTTCTTAGATCAGTGAAGTTTACCAATAGAAGAGGGAGAGTTTTCAGAGATGTTTCTATTTCACTAGAATTTTAGGCTTTTTTTTAGCTTCTCAAGCCCCTCTATTCAACTATTTTTATGTGATTTTTTTCAACACAAAATCTCCTAAAGGAAACCTTTCTCTTTACAGTGACATGAACATTAACGTCAAATCTAAATGACTCATTTTCTCTTGTTCTACAATGTCTTTTTTACTTTTCACTGTCAACTAAACTCTACCTATCTTTTGTTATTCAGTTCATAAATCAAATGACTCATTCATTTCTTCATTGACGCAAACAATATACATTAAGTAATTACTATATTCCAGGTGTTGAGACTTCAAGAACATAAACTTTTCTTGGCAGTTAAGCATAATAAAGAGAAATAACTATTAATAGTAAAAGTTAAGCTACAAAAGCATAAGGACGAAAGGCTGTCTGGAGAAGACAAATAGTGTGACAGAAATGACTGGAATGGGGCTTTCAAATTAGTTACATGAGGATCAGAAACACATGTTTGTTGTTTTTAATTTGCGATCATATTTTTTTGTTAATTTCCCTGTTGTTAATCCTATACCTTTGAAAACTTTCATTGTTTTGATTAGTATTACACATAAATGTAGTTCTATAAAACATTAAAAGTTACAGGTAAGCAAAAAGAAAAATGGCAAAAATCAATCAAGGAAAGCCACTGTTAACACTTTGTAGAAGATATTATTTTCCATGCATGTACTTGTATATATGTACATACTTGGTTGTTTTACAGACACAATATCCTATTTTCCAAACTTTTTAAACCTGCATTTTTTAATTTAACATTTTGTACCTAGTTTACAATATGATTAAGTAGTCTTTTATATCTGGTCATTGTATTAGTCTGTTTTCATACTGCTATGAAGACACTACCTGAGACTGGATAATTTATAAAGGAAAGAGATTTAATTGATTCACAGTTCTGCATGGCTGGGAAGGCTTCAGGAAACATACATTATGGCAGAAGGCAAAAGGGAAGCAAGGAATGTCTTACGTGGTGGCAGGAGAGAGGGAGTGAATGAAGGGGCAACTGCCAACACTTTTAAAACCATCAGCTCCTGTGAGAACTCACTCACTATCATGAGAACAGAATGAGGGAAACATTCCTCATGATACAAGCACCTCCCACCAGGTCTGTCCCCTGACATGTGGGGATTACAACTCAAGATGAGATTTGGGTGGGGACATAGAGCCAAACCATATCGTGCCATCTTTGGCCCCTCCCAAATCTCACATCTTTCTCACAGTTCAAAACCAATCATGCCTTCCCAACAATCCCCCAAAGTTTTAACTCATTCCAGCATTAACTCAAAAGTCCAAGTCCAAAGTCTCATCTGAGACAAGACAACTCACTTCTTACGCCTATGAGCCTGTGAAATTAAAACAAGTTAGTTACCTCCAATATACAGTGGAGGTACAGGCATGCATAAATGTTTATATTCCAAGTGGGAGAAATTGGCCAAAATGAAGGGGCTACAGGCCCAGTGCAAGTCCAAACCAGAGCAAGGCAGTTATTAAATCTTAAAACCCCCAAATCTCTTTTGACTCCATGTCTCACATCTAGTGCACCCTGATGTAAGGGGTGGGCTCCCACAGGCTTGGGCAGCTCGGCCCTTGTGGCTGTGCAAGATACAGTACCAGCCATTGTTTTCACTAGCTGGCATTGAATGCCTGTGGCTTTTCCAGGTGTATGGTGCAAGCTGTTTATGGATCTACCTTTCTGGCATCTGGAGGGCAGTGGCCCTCTTCTCACAGCTCTACTAGGCAGTGCCCCTGGTGGGGACTCTCTGTGGAGTCTCCAACCCTAACATTTCTCTTCCTCACTGCCTTAGCGGAGGTTCTCCATGAGGGCTCTCCACCCCTGAAGCAGACATCTGCCTGGACATCCAGGCATTTCCCTGCATCCTCTGAAATCTAGGTACAGGTCCCCAAACCTCAATTATTGCCTTCTGCAAACCTGCAGGTCCAACACCATGTGGAAGCCACCATGATTTGGGACTTTCACCCTTTGAAGCAACGGTCAGAGCTATACCTTGGCCCATTTTAGCCATGGCTGGAGCTAAGCAACTGGGATGCAAGGCACTAAATCCCCAAAGCTGTGCAGAGCAGTGGGGCCCTGGGCCTAGTTCACAAAACCATTTTTCTTCCTAGGCCTCAGGGCCTATGATGGGAGGGAGTGCTGTAAAGGTCTCTGACATGCCCTGGAGACATTTTCCCCATTATCTTGGCTATTAACATTCAGTTCCTCACTACTTATGCAAATTTCTGCAACCAGCTTGAATTTCTCCCAAGAAAATGAGTTTTTCTTTTCTACCACATGTTCAGGCTGCAAATTTTCCAGACCATTATGCTCTGCTTCCCTTTTCAACCATAAGTTGCAATTTCAAACCATCTCTTTGTTAATGCATATAACTGAACACTTTCAGAATTAGCCAGGTCACCTCTTGAATGCTTTGCTGCTTAGAAATTTCTTCAGCCAGATACCCTAAATCATCTCTCCTCTCTCAAGTTCAAAGTTCCATAGATCTCTAGGGCAGAGGCAAAATGCCACCAGTCACTTTGATAAAGCATAGCATGAGTTACCTTTACTTCAGTTCGCAATATGTTCCTCATCTCCATCTGAGACCACCTGAGCCTGGATTTCACTGTGCATATCACTATCAGCACGTTGGTCAAAACCATTCAACAAGTCTCTAGGAAGTTCCAAACTTTCTCACATCTTCCTGTCTTCTTCTGAGCTCTCCAAACTCTTTGAATCTCTGCCTGTTACCCACTTCCACAGTTGCTTAAATATTTTCAGATTATCTTTATAGCAGTACCCCACTCTGCTAGTACCAATTCTCTGTGTTAGTCCATTTTCACACTGCTATAAAGATACTACCTGAGACTGGGTAATTTGCAAAGGAAAGAGGTTTAATTGACTCACAGTGTCCCATGGCTGGGGAAGCCTCAAGAAACTTACAGTCATGACGGAAGGTGAAGGGGAAGCAAGGCACGTCTTACATGGTGGAAGCAGAGAGAGAGCAAGCAAAGGGTGAACCATCAAACACTTTTAAAACCATCAGCTCTTAACAGAACTCACTCAATATCACAAGAAAAGGGGAAACCATTCCCATGATCCAATGACCTCCTACCTGGTCCCTCCCCTGACGCATGGGGATTACAATTTGAGATGAGATTTGGGTGGGGATGCAGAGTCAAACCATATTAGCCATGTTACCTTTTGAGAAATTGATATTTTAAAGTAGTGTGTCCCATTCCCCTTTAAAAATAATATACAACACATAAATATTTATGCACAAATAATGTATAGCTTAAAGAGGTATAATCCCTAATAATATCAATTCTTGAATTCCTACATAAAACCCATGATTGCCCAATACCATTCTTAGTGATTGCTCAATATTCTGTGGACACACACACATATGTATATACGTTCATACACACATATGGTACTTGACTTTTATGAGGCCACATATTTGTATACTTAATATATGGATATAACATATTTATACATATTTATGGTGAATAGAAACCCTCAAATAACACTGAAACTGGATTAAATGCACCTCCCTTTTCAACTCAGTTGCTAAGAATCTCAGAGCCATATTGAATGGCCTCAAATTGCAACTTTACGGTGTTAGAATCTCACAAGTCCACTCTTTTCACTACCTTTAAACAGAAGATATTACCTTAGGTTCACATGGATGGGTTTCATAAAGTTGGTGAAATCCCTGAAATTCTACGTATATACATTCTCAAAAAAGGTCTAAAACTTTAATAAGATTCTCAAAGGGGTATATAACTACCCATCATTAAGAAATAGAAATTTAGAGCGAGGTACAGTGGTGCACACCTGTAGTCCCAGCTACTTGGGAGGCTGAAGTAGGAGGATCACTTGAGCCCAGGGGTTCAAGGCTTTAGTGCACTACAGCCAAACCTATGAATAGCCATTACACTCTAGTCTGAGCAACATAGCAAGACCCCATCTCAGTAATAATAATAATAATAATAATAATAATAATAATAATAGAGCTTTAGTTGGTCTCTGTTCTGGCTGCATTGCTAATTGCTTTATTTTACATTATCTTCAATTTTGAAACCCAACATAAATATATCAGAGAAGAAATAAAAGTCACATTTTAAATAAATTAGTTAAATGTTTAGAGTAAACTGTCATATTACAAACTTTTTTTTCTTTTCTATATCACACATTATTTCCATTTGAAATGGTAACTAAAATTTCAGATCTCCATAATTTCTTACCAGTATCAAGCCACTGATATTTAAATATTGGCATGTTTGTTACACTATCTCTAGATTCTTTCCACCCATAATTGCATGGAAAATCCTGTGTAGTTTATTCAGTATTAATGGAAATGAGGAGCTGCTGAAATAATTGTAATGCTCAGCATTCACTTAACTATACTCAATAATTTTAAAATTAGACTTAATTGGCTGGGATCCAGTAGCACTTATTAAAGAAGCTGATTATGCTTATGATCTGTAATATGTTTTCAATTTAATTATTTATTTATTTAATGGTTGACATGATTTTATCAAGGAATATGGTCTCAGTTCAATAGGTTTCTAGAAATAACAGAGTGAGGTTATAATGCTCTTCTGCAATCTCAAACTCTCCTTTGTATACCTAATTGCCTGTTTTCTATACTCTGGTCACTAAAGTAGTTTCGATCATAGTGTTTCTGTCTCTGGTGTTTTGTCCCTACTATTCTTTGCTAAAAATTGTTTTTGTTTTCAAAATAGGACAGCATCAGGTATTTATGTCTTTATTTATTTGAGCTTAGACCAAAATATCTGCTGTTGTACCACAGTAGTCCCTGTTTCTCTATCTTCATTTTTCCATTGAGTTTACTCTTTTTGACATTCAGAGAGAAAAAGCTTTAGCATAGTTATGTAATGAGAAAAATATTTCCAGATAAAGTTTAAAGTCTATATTGAGATTTCCAGGCACTAAAACCTTCCCCTACTACCTTCCCATTTCTCATTCTACATGACAAATTCTTAGAAATACAGTTAAAAAAAATTTCAGATATTTGCAGTGGTTTCAACAAACCCCACATTGGGTAAATAAGTTTAAGAAAGAAAAAAAAAAGATAAAGATAGGATTAAGAAAGCTCAAACTAATGGCTTCCTTAAACTAAAACCATATGTCTCAATAAGAAATATTGGTCATATACACAGATAGCCCTCAATTAAGAGGCATTGAAGGCATGCAATCAGCAAAATAGAGCTAGACTGGTCAGAGAGATGGTAGAAGTTAGAGGAGGATGAAAAGAGAGAACAAAATGAGACAACATATAGCAGAGATGCTATATGGTATGAAGAGCAATAAAAAAAGATAAGCAGCAGGGACAGGGAAGAGAACCATTTGAGATGCACAAGAATACAATACCAGGAAATAATCTGCTGATGGCAGAAAGAGAATCTAGGTCAAGGCCTTATATTGACACTTATAATTGTACTTGATACTTGTGCTTGAGTATTCTTTAGGCATTTTTTTACTTGTGGTGCAAAGTACCAGAGCTTGCATGAATCAGCCTTAGCTCTGCTGATCTTATTTTATATTGCTTAGGTTAGAGCCCCAGAGCAAGAAGGTTTTTCTTTTTCAAATATTGTACCTACTGAAAATCAAGAAGTGTGAAATACTAAACGAATGACTCTAACTTCCAGCTCCGTTATCAGAAATGAAGGTTCCATCGACACGGGTTCACTGGGGGAGCTGAGGATAATCCATGCTCTCTAACTTCACATTTAGTCTGTTAAAGTTCTTTGGGTAAAATTAGACACACATACTTTTTTCTTCGGTCCTAGTTTGTTTTGTTTTAATCAGCATAATGCCCAAAGGAAAAAAATGTGAAAAATGACAAAATTAGAGATAATGGGGATACCTAAAATAAAACAGGTTTCTTTGTAATGAAAACTTTTAGAAAATATTGTTTTATGTGTCAGTAAGATACAATTTTCAATGTAATGGATAGCTCTGTAGAAACTAGAAATTACCAAAATTTCCAAAACAAAAAATTTAAAATTTGAATAAAACCCAATGTTAAAAGAAAATCTTTAGATAAGTTAAATTTAGCAAAGTTTATTTGAGCAAAGAAGTGATTCATGAAATGGCCAGCCACCCAGAACCAGTAAAAGTTCAGACAACTCCACCCAGCAATGTAGGTAGGTAGTATTTTAAGACAAAAAAGAAAAGTGACATACCATAATAGCCTGATTGGTTGCAGCTCTACCTTTGCCTTATTTAGACACATATGAGAAGTTTGCAGCCTGTGGTTGGCTGAATTTCAACTACTGTGATTGGCCAACAAGAACACTTAAAACCTCAAGCTAAGTTGCAGTTTGTTCACATATTGTTATTTTATAGTTTGCTATGTAAAGAGGCTGTTTTAGACCTAATTTAATTTAATGCCAGTAACAAGGAAGGAAATTGAGAAAATCATTGAAGGATTATTCTATAAAACTTGTTCTGTGTTTAGATGGTTTTATCCATAAATGCTCCCAAATAATGAGTTTTCAAGATGAATGAATTTTCAAATATTCAAAATATTTTGAATTTGAAAATATTCAAAAATTCAAATAATGAATTTTCAAATATGAGCTTTCAAGAACATAGAAATAGCTCAAAACCTATTCTATTCTGCTCATATAGCATACACAATAGATTATAAGAACTAACAGTTGTAGCACAGAAAAGTAAGTTACAGACAGGATAATTTTAGGCACAAAATGTGAAACTCAAACAAAAATTAGAAAACATCAATGGGTATGAAGTTTCAGTTATACAAGATAAGTGGGATATAGAAATCTGCTGTATAACGTTGTACCTAGAGTTAACAATACTATACAGTCTACTTAAACATTTGTTGAAAGTAAAGCTCATGTTAAGCATTCTTACCACAATAGAAAAAAAGAAGAAAGCAGCATTCAATAGTGCATTTTAAAAGTCACTATTATCATGCAGCTTTTATGTGATGAATAAAAGTGTAAAGAAAATGTTAGGAAATTTAATACTATAACTCATCACATCAAATAGTAATACAAATATATTAATAACAACAAAAATAATGTGAACAGTTGAAAGACATCAAGGAATCATTTAACCAATTTTAATATTATTGCTGAAAAAATAATGTTAATTAGAACTTGAAGGAAACATCTGTTATTATTAACTTTTTTGCTACCCATTAATTTGTGATACCTTCTTTATTACTTATTATTACATATCAGAGATTATATTTTGGTGATATAGACTTTTTTACTCATTAATTTGTCCTTTCTTAAATAAGATATTGTTATAGATGCATATAGTATACATATTTGGGAAAGGTGTTTATTTTTTAGGCATTTCATATAATTGGAAGTATAATTTTTATTATAATGATTTAGGAAAAATATCCTAAGTTTTTTATTTGCTTCTTTCTTAAAACAATATCTTTTGGAGAGTTTGGTGTATGCGTGTGTGTGTGTGTGTGTGTGTGTGTGTGTGTGTGTGTGTGTGTACAACATTGAATAAAAGTATGTATTTAAAAATTCTTAAACTTAATTTTAGAGTACTAAATATTTCTTTCTAGGAATATAGTATTGCATAGTATTAAAACTATTTTTAGACCTTAAAATGGTTTGGTATTTGATTTTCTATTAGTTATACTTTTTTATTTCTAGATATTTTAAATGTTTTTCCTATTAGTGGCATTTCTTTGGCATAGCATTTTAAAAAATTGGAATAAAATTTTCTACTGAATAGGTTTTAAATATCCATATTTTGTCTGGCCCTTTTACATTCTACTTTGCTTTTAATTCACATTAAAAAATATTATGATTTGGCTCCCTCTCCCTCTCCCTCTCCCTCTCTCTCCACGGTCTCCCTCTCCCTCTCTCTCCACGGTCTCCCTCTCCCTCTCCCTCTCTCTCCAGAGTCTCCCTCTCCCTCTCCCTCTCTCTCCACGGTCTCCCTCTCCCTCTCCCTCCACGGTCTCCCTCTCCCTCTCCCTCTCTCTCCACGGTCTCCCTCTCCCTCTCCCTCTCTCTCCACGGTCTCCCTCTCCCTCTCCCTCCACGGTCTCCCTCTCCCTCTCCCTCTCCCTCCACGGTCTCCCTCTCCCTCTCCCTCCACGGTCTCCCTCTCCCTCTCCCTCTCCCTCTCTCTCCACGGTCTCCCTCTCCCTCTCCCTCTCTCTCCACGGTCTCCCTCTCCCTCTCCCTCTCTCTCCACGGTCTCCCTCTCCCTCTCCCTCTCTCTCCACGGTCTCCCTCTCCCTCTCCCTCTCTCTCCACGGTCTCCCTCTCCCTCTCCCTCTCTCTCCACGGTCTCCCTCTCCCTCTCCCTCCACGGTCTCCCTCTCCCTCTCCCTCTCCCTCCACGGTCTCCCTCTCCCTCTCCCTCCACGGTCTCCCTCTCCCTCTCCCTCTCCCTCTCTCTCCACGGTCTCCCTCTCCCTCTCCCTCTCTCTCCACGGTCTCCCTCTCCCTCTCCCTCTCTCTCCACGGTCTCCCTCTCCCTCTCCCTCTCTCTCCACGGTCTCCCTCTCCCTCTCCCTCTCTCTCCACGGTCTCCCTCTCCCTCTCCCTCTCTCTCCACGGTCTCCCTCTCCCTCTCCCTCTCTCTCCACGGTCTCCCTCTGATGCCAAGCCAAGGCTGGACTGTACTGCCGCCATCTCGGCTCACTGCAACCTCCCTGCCTGATTCTCCTGCCTCAGCCTGCCGAGTGCCTGGGATTGCAGGCGTGCGCCGCCACGCCTGACTGGTTTTTGTATTTTTTGGTGGAGACGGGGTTTGGCCATGTTGGCCGGGCTGGTCTCCAGCTCCTGACCGCTAGTGATCTGCCCGCCTCGGCCTCCTGAGGTGCCGGGATTGCAGACGGAGTTTCGCTCACTCAGTGCTCAATGTTGCCCACGCTGGAGTGCTGTGGTGTAATCTCTGCTCGCTACAACCTCCACCTCCCAGCCGCCTGCCTTGGCCTCCCAAAGTGCCAAGATTGCAGCCTCTGCCTGGCCGCCACCCCGTCTGGGAAGTGAGGAGCGTCTCTGCCTGGCCGCCCATTGTCTGTGATGTGAGGAGCCCCTCTGCCCAGCTGCCCAGTCTGGGAGGTGAGGAGCACCTCTTCCCGGCCGCCATCCCGTCTGGGAAGTGAGGAGCATCTCTGCCCGACCGCCCATCGACTGAGATGTGGGGAGCGCCTCTGCCCCGCTGCCCCATCTGGGATGTGAGGAGCGCCTCTGCCCGGCCGCGACCCCGTCTGGGAACTGAGGAGTGTCTCTGCCCGACTGCCACCCCGTCTGGGAGGTGAGGAGCGTCTCTGCCCAGCCGCCCCATCTGAGAAGGGAGGAGCCCCTCCGCCTGGCAGCCACCCTGTCTGGGTAGTGAGGAGCCCCTCCGCCTGGCAGCTGCCCCATCTGGGAAGTGAGGAGCGTCTTCGCCCGGCAGCCACCCCGTCCAGGAGGTGGGGGGCAGCCTCCGCCCGGCCAGCCACCCCGTCCGAGAGGTGCAGGGCAGCCCCCGCCAGCCAGCCGCCCCATCCGGGAGGGAGGTGGGGGGCAGCCCCCGCCCGGCCGCCACCCCATCTGGTAGGTAGGGGGGGGGCGCCTCTGCCCAGCCGCCCCGTCTGGGAAGTGAGGAGCCCCTCTGCCCGGCCGCCAACCCGTCTAGGAGGTATACCCAACAGCTCATTGAGAACGGGCCATGATGATGATGGCGGTTTTGTCGAATAGAAAAGGGGGAAATGTGGGGAAAAGAAAGAGAAATCAGATTGTTACTGTGTCTGTGTAGAAAGAAGTAGACATAGGAGACTCCATTTTGTTCTGTACTAAGAAAAATTCTGCCTTGGGATGCTGTTAATCTATAACCTTACCCCCAACCCCCTGCTCTCTGAAACTTGTGCTGTGTCCACTCAGGGTTAAATGGATTAAGGGTGGTGCAAGATGTGCTTTGTTAAACAGATGCTTAAAGGCAGCATGCTCGTTGAGAGTCATCACCACTCCCTAATCTCAAGTACCCAGGGACACAAAAACTGTGGAAAGCTGCAGGGTCCTCTGCCTAGGAAAACCGGAGACCCTTGTTCACATGTTTATTTGCTGACCTTCCCTCCACTATTGTCCTATGACCCTGCCAAATCCCCCTCTCCAAGAAACACCCAAGAATGATCAATAAATACTAAAAAAAAATAAAAATAAAAATAAAAAAATAAAAAATATTATGATTTATTATTTATTTCATTTTTTAAATCATCCACTAATCTGGAGTTTTTTGGTGTATAGTGAGAGAGCTAAACTGATTTTCTAAAAGTCTAATTTGTTATCAGTTATCCCGCTATTTATAGATAAAAATATATATAACATATATATAATATACTACTTACATATATATTGATGCAAACTGAAAAGTAAATATAACAAAACAGAATGGATGACTGTCTTAATCAAAAAAGTATTAACATGAAATAACCACAGTTCATAAATAAAACATTTCAAATATACAATACAAAAGGAGAATGACTAAATTACTGTAGCTAGACTAGACAGGAGAGAGCTGCCAACAAAGGCAGGGTAGTCAGAGAGAGCATCAGTGAGGTCAGCTGCTCAGGTTTGCCAGTCATTGAACAAGAGACTGATGATCAAAGAAGAATACAGTTTATCAATTTATTAAACAAATAAGACTAGTGAAATAATCAGAAATATATAAATGGCTATATTTTACATTAAAAGTGATCCAAAATATCGACTTGCATTGTGGTTATGATAGAATAGTTTGTACTCAGCTAACATTCCTAAAAAGGAAAAGCAAAAACATCATTAAAATTTTACAAATTTTGTTGGAATGCATCAGAAATTGATAAAGCAACTATGGCTTAAGATGAAGCTTACTGAGATGATCTCCATTTTTTGCCTCATCTTTCCCCTGAGGACAATGGTTAATTATTGGAAGATAGCAGGAGATCAAGAGCTAGACAACAAGTTTCTACTAAGATTAGAATAGACTACAGAGCTATCAGTATCAGTAACTCACACAGCCAGAAAAAAAAAAAAAAAAAAGGAAATCTATGGTGCTATGGGAGCCTGGATTTGAAGTGATAGAATCCAGAGAGAAGATAGACTTAGAGAAGTCAGCTCAACAGTGGGCATTGGTTCTTCCCACAAGACATTTATGGAATAAGATGCACAAGACAAGAGGATAAAAAGGGGCAAGGTAACTAAAAATCAATGCACGACTGTTATGCTGCATTGCTTGAGAATCAAAGTTATATTTCAGGTCCTAGCAACGAGGGTATATCTTAAGAAACCTCCAACTCTTAGTTTGAAACCTTTGAGAGCTGTAAACTAGGAGTGGAAAAATTAGAGAATAATCATTACAAAGATGGTCATATATTCTGGCTCTACATCCTCACCCAAATCTCATCTTGAATTGTTATCCAAATTTTAATCACCACATGTTGGGGGAGGGAGCTCACGGGAGGTGATTAGATAATGAGGGTGGTTGCCCCATGCTGTTCTCATGATAATGAGTGAGTTCTCATGAGATCTGATGGTTTTATAAGGTGCTTTTCTCTCTTTGCTGGGCACTCATTCTCTCTCCTGCTGCCCTGTGAAGAGTTGCCTTCAGCCATGATTGTAAGTTTCCTGAGGCCTCCCCAGCCAGGTGCAACTGTGAGTAAATTAAACCTCTTTTCTTTGTAAATTTCCCAGTCTTGGGTATTTCTTCTCAGCAGTGTGACAACGGACTAATACAGATTGTAACTCAGCCCAGAGTCAATTCAGACTAGAGCCATTTCACTCCCTGATTGAATTGAAGTGCTCTGCTCCTCTGCTTCCTGCTGGAGAACAGGGTAAACCTGCTCTGCAGGAAGATGGCATTATTTAAAGTATATTCCATTTTTTATACAGATGTCTATTAATTTAAGCCAAAGTTGACAAACATACCTAAGAATACCTAAGAATAAGACTAAAAGAAAATACAAAAAGAAAACCGTAAGTGACAAAGGTTTTGAAATTTTAGTCATTAACTTTAAAATAACTATAATTAATATCATTTTTAAAATGTATGACAAGATGGAAAGTTTTACCAGAGAACTAGAATCAATAAAAAAAGAAAAAAGTGGAAATTCTAGAACTGTAGTGATAGAGCTTAGGAACTGAATATGTTGGATAACGCTAAAAATAAGACTAGTGTGTTGGACTATATGAGTTCATGGAATATATCCGAATTTAAACATGAAGAGGAAAGAAAAAGGGTGAACAGTACACAAAGATTGTAAGGTCTTGTAAGGTCTACCATAAGCACAACTTTATTCCAGAAGGAGAAGAGATAAATAATAGGGCAAAAGCAATTTTTGAGGAGACAACGGGCCTAAAATTTCACAACTGATAAAATACACTAATCTACAGATATAGGAAGTTCTAAGAACTCCAAGCAATATAAATATAAAGAAAATTCATTTAGCTACATTATAACATAAATGACCAAGGAGAATAAGGAGAGTAAACAATATGTTTTTAAATCTTAAAAATATTGCAAGAAACAAGACATATTACAGCCAAAGGGGCAGCAACAAGACTGAAAGCTTACTTTGCAAGAGAAATGATGAAAACCAAAAGATATTAAGTTGATGCTTTTAATTGCTGGGGGAAAACAAAAACAAATACTACCAGCCTCACATTCTTCAGCTATCAAAAATATTCTTTAAAAGTGAAAGCAATTTGAAAACATTCCAATGCAAACATAAACTGAGAAAATATGTTGTCAGCTAGACCCACACTGAAGACAAATCACAGTAAAGAGAAGTCTTTGGATGGGAAGAAAATGATACCAGAAATGTGAAACATAATGAAGGTCAATAAAAGGCTAAATATGTGGTAAATAAATAAAATATGTCTGATTTTCTATTTGTAGATATTTTATACATGGTATGATAAAAATTGTAAATTCATATTTGTAAGAAAAACAGGAAATAAACCAATATCACCACATATTGCAATACAGGTTTGGTGGAGTTACACAGATGATTCAAGGGAGACAAAAGGAGGGCTCCCTTGCCTACTTGAGATTGCTGAATAGAGGAAACTCTTCCCTGAGCAAGAGATACTTTGCTCAGTCTCAACTGATTCAAATGTTAGAACACAGAGGAGAAAATAAATGATATGATGGGTGGGTGTTATTTGAGAAACTCTTAGATGAACAATCATTTGAACACATACATGATTTTTTAAGCAGTCACCAATTTTAAGAATACGTTTTCCCAGTCATAAAAAAATTATCCTCTGCTTACTAGTTTCCTCTTTTAGTTCATTCCTATTAGTGTTCTTAAAAGATATCAAGATATTTAAAAAGACAAGGATGATATAATGTGCAGGGATGCAATTATATTATATGGAAAGAAAATTATAATAAAATTTGTTTCAAATTATACATTTTACACTCAACACTTTATACTGGATATTTGAGGCCATGAAAAGAGCAAAAATCATTAAAGCAAAAGAAAAGTTATAGGGTAAGGATATCAAGAGAAGCTGAAAGATGCATCTATCTGAAAGTAATTTTACCTTCTGCTTCTATTCTTCATGATGCTTGCCAAACAGGCCCAGCAATAACTGGTAAATGGAGGAATTTTCCTAAATGAATACTTAAAATTCTTGACAAATAAAGTGGATTCTGTTAATTAAAATCTTAATTGTTCTTGAAAGTGATAGAGAAAGACAATAATCAACCTTTCTAAAAGAATATGCCAGCAACATATATCTCTTTTAGCAGACCATGTACGAATTACTTATTCAATATCTATTGATTAAATGTTTTAATCCCTATGTAGATTCAAATGATAACTATGCACCCAATCAATTCTTGCTTGTAGCCTCCCTAGGAGCAGATGTTAGAATTCCGTCTATATGAATTTAGGTACAACCTAAAAAGTCATTTACTCTTTCTGTCACTTTCAAGGAGGACTGAAGGTTATTGCGATTATCTTGTTCGCCTCAACTCTGTCTTTTAAATCCAACTCCCAATGTCTAATGCTGAGCAGGCAAAATCTCTCAATACTGTGTGTCAAATGTCAAGAATAAGAAAAAATAATATACTCAAAATTACTTTTTCCTTTGACATGAGTCACAGTTGAATTCCAAACAATTATACTTTTTTTGATATTAATCTTCCTATTCAGATATCTATTAAATACGAGAAAAACACTACTAAAATTGAAATTATATTCCAGCCATGTACATTCTCTGTTCTGTAGAGCATGTGTCCTAAATCTTTTTATTGTTTCTTGTCCTGAAGAATTGAAGTTGGCAATCTAGAATGCACAAAATAGTTTATCCTGATGATAACCCTTAATCATAAAACAATAATTATCACCAGTGTTGTTACTTTTTTTTTCAATCAAGGCTCAACTTAAAAAAAATTTAATGTTAAATAAATGTAATAATATAATAAATCACTACATGTTTACCATAACCATTAAGGCAACAAATATATATAAATTAAAAACAATATTCCTCTACATTCTATGTTATTACACTGACATGTATCCTTTTACACCTTTATCTATGCTCACTCAAAAATATTTACACATAGGTAAAATCCTGTAATTTTCTCTTTCAAACGTGGGGTTATACAGAGTAAGCTGTCAAAGATTTCTGCATGCACACTTGCACCCAGAATCTTCAATATTGCATCTGGCTGTAATTTGATGATCTCTTTATTCATTTTACCAAAAGTTTCAAACTCTCTTTTGAATTTTAAATCTTCACTAGTCATCTAAAGGGAAAATATACAAGTTCATATTTGTCAGCACTTATTTAATGAAAACAAGTTGAGATTTTATCCCATATTTACTGGAAGACCATCAATACTTTTAAGCAGAACACTGACATGATTTCATCTGTGTCTTAGTGGGAAATATTTGTTAGAAAGGGGAGAATCTAGGCCGGGTGCGGTGGCTCACTCCTGTAATCCCAGCACTTTGGGAGGCTGAGGCAGGCGGATCATGAGGTCAGGAGATCGAGACCATGGTGAAACCCCGTCTCCACTAAAAATACAAAAAAATTAGCTGGGTGCGGTGGCAGACGCCTGTAGTACCAGCTACTCGGGAGGCTGAGGGAGGAGAATGGCGTGAACCAGGGAGGCTGAGCTTGCAGTGAGCAGATATCTCGCCACTGCACTCCAGCCTGGGCGACAGAGCAAGACTCCGTCTCAATAAAAAAGAAAAAAAAAGAAAGAAAGAAAAGGGAGAATCTAGAGGAAGAAAGATGAGACATTAATATGGCAACATTGAGTGACAAGTCATGATATGGCGAAGACCAGGCCAAGTAGGGTAAAAGCCACGGGAAGGAAGAACAGAGATGGCAGATATTTTCAGAGAGGGAAATATGAAGGACAAACATGAGTGTTTTAGATTCTCAGTTTGGAGTTTATAGTGATGAAGTTCAACAAGCTAAAGAATACGGAAAGGAGATTGGTTTTGAAGTGGAAATTGAGGCCCTATGTATGTTGTATTTGAGCATCTATGGAGCATCCAGTGAATAGTGACTTACGAGGAAATGCAAAATTGTATAATTATCTCTTCTTCTCCAACACTTAACATTTTAGCTTAAAGATTTTCCAATTTTGCTTTATATTCTTCACAATTTTGGTTTATGGCTGAAGACAAATTATACACAGTAATATCAAGAAAATTTGTATTTTTAAATTGTTGGACATTTGGACAGCTTCCAAGATTTTTTATCATAGTAAGAAACCAACGAATATCTTAATATTTGTAACATTTTCTTCTTTTAATTACTTTCTCAGAATATATATTCCCAGAGGTAAAATAAGTTTATTTACCCAAATCATAAGAATATTGGAAGTCACTGTTCAAAATGTTTTTAAAAAAACTTTTATACATACGTGTGTGTGTGTATGTATGTATATATGTGTGTGTATTGCATAGTGATTGTGCATATATGTATACACACACACACACACACACACACATGAATATACACAGTTGGCTTTATATATCCTAGGTCCTGCACCTATGGATTCAATCAATCACAAATTGAAAACATTAGGAAAAAATGGCATCTGCACTCAAAATGTACAAAGTTTTTTTGTCATTATTCCCTTAACAATATAGTATAACAACTATTAACATAGCATTTATATTGTATTAGATATTATAAGTAATCTAGAGATGATTTAGAGTATACAGGAAGATACGTGTAGGTTATATGAAAATACTATACCACTTTATGGATTTTGGTATCTATAAGAAGTCCTGGAACCAATCTCCCGCTACCTCCACCTCTCTCTCTCTTCCTCTCTCTCTCTCATTCTTTCTTTCTCTCTCTACTAATATACTCTTTTTCTCTGTCTACACACACACATACATATACACATACACACACATATATACACATACACATATGTATATACATTTGAAATGCTTAAAATATAAATATATATAGGTAAATATACCTATAGGTATATATAACTTTTAAAAATACTAAATATTAAATCCTGATGCTTTATTCTGGAGCATAAAGCAGGTCTCCAAATAACTATGCACATACAGATATATGTTCCAGGAGCACATAGATTCCAAGAAAAAAAATGTAATGAAGTATTTCAAGATTCCTTTTTACTAACCAATTTATAGCTCCTCTTGCAAAATGATGAATAAAGAGAAAACAAGTGCAAAACAGCAGTTTACCTACTTCAGCTACTGAGTGCCGTATGTTCTCTTTTCCCTCTGCATGGACTTCCTCAGAGGCAAATTAACAAAATCACAGGTGCCTTCTGGAAAAAGTGATTAGACTATTCAGAACTCCCTTGTGTTCTCTCAAAGGCAGTTTAAAGTTAACTGAACATTTCACTGTGTTGTCAGATTTACAATTGATTCCAGTTTCCAGTGTGCAACATATTCGACAGACTGCTGGAAAACAGATACCCCTTTCACTCGGCATTTGATTCTGAAGAAAAGCCATAAGAAGAAAACACATCAGCTGCAACAAGAACATTACAATTCCAGTGGTTGGTTTCAAAAATGGTTTCTAATGTGATATACACTGAAAATAAGGGACTGGAATAAAATGGTATTTGTCTCATACTACATTATTACTGTACATACTTCTACCAATTTCTTTTCATTCTTCTAAGTTGGAATTAAAATCACCTCACTAGAGACTTTTTTCTGATCTCCTTAAATGGCTTGCAGATTCACTTCTTATTATTCAAGCCATTTCAGTTGTTGGTGGCATAAGACACTATGTAATTACATATTTATTTTTGCTTACTTGTTATTTTTCTGTAATTCCCACCATCCATAATCTCCTTGAGAGCAGAAACTGTGTCAATTTCTCATGCAAAATATTTCCAGTTCTGAACCAAGTATCTGACACATAGTAGGTATTTTTAAAATATCTGGTTAATGAATAAACAAAGTGAATAAAACCATAAGTAAAACTCACAAGAACCAACCCCAGATTAGAAAACATCGTCCATTTGACAGTAGTAGTTTTTGGCTACCTAAGTGAAGAATATCTGTTTATCTGAAAATATTTCAATATAGACATTCATATAGTAGTTGTTTTCAAGAATAGCATCTACTCTTAAACTGAAAAGAACCTTAGAATCAAAGGTGATAATTCTATCTTAAACAACAATTACAAGTTAAGACATGGCAACTTGAACCTACACCTTATGGGAATAGGTGTCACTGTAAAACCCGATTGAGTGATGGATATGAAGATACATGACATGAATATAGATGCTGAAAGTCAACATACAATATATCATCTGTAATCTTTTCTGTGTTCAATTAGTGTAACACTTATTAATTGCCTAATAAATGTAATGCTCTGTTCTAGTCATTTGTAATACAATTGCATGACAAAATTTCCATTAAATATATTTGTATGATAAGTATAAATAGTGATAAATACTTTGAGGAAGATGGCCTAATGAAGATAAACAGGGATTGAGAAAGGAGAGGTTTTTTTTAAGATACGGAGTAACCAAGAAAGACCTATTGAAGAGGTACCATTTGAACTAGGTCCTGAAACATAATGAGGCAGCCCTGTCAAGTTCTGGTGGAAGAGTGTCCCAGGCACAGAAAAGGTACAAAGGCCAACTGTGGAAATAGGTTATCATACTAATAATTAGTCTTGTTGAGAGATGATAAAAAATTAAAAAGATAATTAACTAATTGCCACTAACTTACTAATAAACGTCACATTTATCTTTTGCCACTACTGCCCTAGAATATTTTACTTCAGTAGTTCTAATGCCTTTTGCTATAGCAATGTTTGCATTAAAAACAAAGGACTGCTAGATAATCCCAACTGAAATTTCAAGTGGAGTCAAATAAAAGGTCCATAGCTAAACATTTTATATCTTTACAGCTGAAAGAAACCTGAAAAGGTCATGCAGTCTCTATGACTCAAATATCTGAACAGCATCAAATAAAATTTATCACATTTTATGACTTTTCTAATGTAGCTTGAATGAAATCACATTTGACCAAGGTTAGAGATTTTTGTGCTAGAGCCACAGTCATTGTTTTGTATCAAAATCGAACCATGGGATGTAAAAGTAGGACTTCTGTCCTTGCTGTAGCTTTTTACATTTTATTATTCTTAAAAAAGATCTTAAACACCAAGGGTTAATGTTACATAACTATTGTGGGGATTTTATTCACCAAATAAGACAAATAATTCAGCAAATAGTTCTAATTTAATTATTCAAATTTGTATCTCTCTCATGCCTTAAATGATACTTGCAACCTACAAAGAAAAGAACATAGAATATATACTAACAGTACTCCTAAAACAAAATAATTTCTTTTTGCCTGTATTATGCTTACAATAAAGAATTTTGCTGAATTATTAGGCTATTTTTTCTTACTTTTAAAATGTGCAGTAGCCTTGGGCTCCAGGTCTTATCAGCCATTGGTCAAGAACCTGATTAGAATTTTGCATCAAAAATAGACAAGAGAACATGATACCACTCTTTATCTTCCAGAGATAAAACATGGAAGGATTATTCAGATGAAGTTGTAAAGTAACAATTTTTTCTGAGAGTACTTTTGAAAAGAAGGAGGGAAGAGGTCCTTAGGTAGGTTAGCACTAGCTCTGTGCCAGTGTCTGTGCCAGGCTCTGAGCATAGAGGAGGGATCCAGTACTTGCCAGTCATTCCCTTCACTACCATTATTTGATTTTAAAATTAATTTTACTATGTTAAGAGGAGGTCAGCTCTTACGGCACCTGTAGAATGATGCATGTCATAGCTAAAAGGTATACTTTTTGTTAACCACAGAAGTAGCAGTATAGGGTGACAGAAGAACTTTGAGCAGAAACTTGGTGTATTAGCTCTCACTGCCCTACCAAAATACCACAGCATGGGTGGCTTAAACAACAGAATTTTTTTTCTCACAGTTCTAGAGGCTAGCAGTTCAAGATGAAGGTGCCGGGAGGGTTGGTTTATTGTGAGCTCTTTCTTCCTGGTTTGCAGATGGCTGCCTTCTCTCTGTGTCCTCACATGGCTTTTCTTCCGTGCATTTTACTTCTGATGTTCATATAAGGACTTTAGTCCTTTGGGATTAGGACCCCACTCATGATTTTTTTTAACCTTAATTACCTCCTCAAAAGCCCTATCTTCAAATACAGTGACATTGGAGGTTAGTGTTTCAACATACGAATTTTTGGGGTGTGGGACAAAATTAATTTCACAACATTTAGCGACTTTGGTGCTGTCTCTTGGTTATAATACTATCTTGCTTGGAAGATCTTTCCCTCATTATGCCTCTTGTTTTTTCTTTACTTTTTTTTTTTTCCATGTGTAAAATGAAGTTGAAGTACATGATCTCTGTATATCTGCCAAAAGAAACCTGGCTTTTTCTCCAAGAAAACAAATTTAATGACCACTATTTCAAGTAATAAATAAGACAAAAATGACTCCTTGCAGAACTTGAGTACTAGAATGGTTTATAATTATTAACTGATATTTAGCGTTTATTTTATTCTATTAAATTGTCTCCTAAATTGTGTTAATCCACAGAGGAATACAAACTAAAAGGTTGTATTAAAAGACACTCTATGAGCCTGTAATTGACTTCTCTCAATCTCAAAAACCAACATCTTAAATAATGCATCATAAAGTAAAGCTAGCAATGCATTCAAAGATCCAGCGTATTTAAACATTTCAGACGCAATATTTGTTGACATGATGGTTCATCGTAAAACATTAATATGGTAAATGCCTAGGGAATTTATAAATGCATACACATCAAAATGTTAATTAATTAAAATGAATTAAATTTAGTAAAACTATTATTATCCATGCCTGGCAATTTACGCAAAGAAAGAATTAGGTCCTGTTCGCACTGCTGCTTGATGAGTAGAACACTGGATTAATTATCAAGAATCACAGACAGATTGTTGTTGTTTACATATACTACTTAGAAAGTCAGATTTCTGGACACAATAGATATGCACTTCAGCTATAATGTTAAGGTGGCAGGTCATTAAGCATGATTAGAAGTCAGGCTTCATCTGCAATCCAGGGTTCACATGAAAGCACAGTACATATTTTCTAGCAGGAAGTAAGGTAGGAATGGGGGCAGAAATAAGATTAAGATTCAGAGACGGGAAAGGAGATGCACAGAAAATGAATCAAAGAGCTGCCAAGCCCATTTCCATCACTCCTTTTGACTACAAATGCAGCAGCTGTCTTCTTGGGATGTTTGAAATGTGCTCCTTCAACCTCTGTCAAAGAACATTAGGTACCATAATTTTGCTAGTATATGCTCATGACTTTGCTGCCTGAACTTAAGTAGCACATTCCAGTCTATAATTTCAACTAAGAGCAAAATGAACAAGAGCCCCATAGACTCAATCCTTACCCTTTAGAAGCTGGTAATTGGAAAAAGTGGCCATAATGAAGAGCCCAAAAGAGGAAAATGTAATTAACCAGGAGCTGTGTATAGTGTTTAATTTGATTTTCTTAGCTTGTTAGCTCAGCTGGTTGGAGTGTGGTGTTAATAACGTTAAGATTGCAAGTTCAATTGCCATATGGGCCAGTTAGTTTCACTCAATTCTATGGCTACGGACCAAATGAGTTCTATTGGTCGCAAGAGGAAATAGACAAGAGAGGGTGGATTAGAGAAAATCTATTAATACCACTGTCAAACAAACTCAAAACACTACTGTCAAGGGCAGGGCTGCAGTGAAGACTGCATTTTAATTATTTAAAAGTGGGAAAATGTAAAATTCTGAGAGGTGAAAATTGAGACAAAAATTTAGACTTTCTGAACACTATAATTAGTGTCCTTTATCAAATCAGGAGAAGTTTGCCTGATAAATGTATTTCAGTTGCTTCTTAACTGAGTTCTCAGACATCTAAATTCTAATGTGACTGGGAATATGGATTTCAGCTGAAGTGGATTAGATATGTAAGATGAGAGAGATTCACAGCGGAGAGAGACAGTCTTTAGGGCTGACTGGGGAGGAAAGCAGAAATAAGGAAAATAAGGTTGGTAATAGAAACACAACGTTAAAGAACAGGAAATTGCTTTGTCATTTACTCAATCTGAAATAGGTCCAGTGTCTGGACAGACTCACCCAATCTTATGATTGGGCTCTAATCCCCTCTTAGAACTGTGATCTATTTTAAGTTAAGTAAAGGTGAAGTCCTAAACAAACCCTGGAATAAACCAATTACAAAAGATTACAACGTACATCTACATAACTACCTTAGCCCAGGGGAAAATGTGCAGGCAATTCCTCTTTATCCTAAGATCCTGAAACCACAAACACACATCTACAACTGAGTGCTATCATACTTAACACATATGTAACATGCAATAGTCACTTTGCTATATGAAACCAACATGTCTGGAACTGTTTTATAATACTCCCAGAGAAATATGGGAGAAAAAGTTTGACCTAAATTAATTTGCTAGCAAATCCTTATCATAATGACACGGCTGATAAAGAATCTGGAGTATGAGTATTGAATAAATCAGCCCCGGGGGGAGGAGCGGGTTCTTTAAGAACCAAGAGCAAGTATGCAGCACCGTTTGCAGGTCACCTGTTCCCCCTTTAACCCACAAATCTGGTTCTCCTCTCGTTCTATCTTACTTCAGCCGCAAGGAAAATCAGTCATATCTTTGGTCTTTCCATTCTTAAGCAAAACAAGACCTTTCTGGCACGTTTCGTGAGAATCCCAGATAAAAGTTATATCTGTAAAGTTCTACAGCTTGCCTGAAAGTTCTCAGGACTCTTAAATTTCCCGGTGGGAAGCAGGGAAAAAACCAAGTACAACTTCCCTCCTCAGTCTCTCCCGATAAATGCACCAGTAAGCAAAATTTGATAGAAAATTAAAGACATAATTCTCTATTTGACGTTATATGAATAAAAACAACTGGCATACTATTAGGTTTCTTTTGAATGGTGATTCATTCTAGAATTCAGCCCCAAACTTTTTTGTACTCTCCTCTTTAAACGTTTTCTTTCATAATAAATAGCAGAGACAAAAGTGTTTCTATTGGGAAGTGTGAGAGTAAAGAGATATACAATTAACTAGTGGTCTGCTCAGTTACAGGAAAAATGCCTGAACAGCATTCTGTTATCTTGCAATAATGGGGCCATTTATGTGCATCACATTTTCATTTTCAGTTCTGTGCTAATTTAAATCATTTTCATTTGAATTCCCAATCTTAACTTTTTCCCCTACACATGCCTGGCTAATAAAAATGCTTGATTTATTAATATTGCACTTATTACAATATTAATTGTACTTTATTAATAAAGAGTTACAGCACTTTATTAATAAACTAAATTTCAGCAACTAGATCTAGTAAGGCAATTACAAATACTACGGCCAGCTAGAATAATATTTTAAGTGTTTTAGAAATGTCAGATGAAAACTTGTTAAACCAGACAAGCACCAATGACAGTTAATAGCAGTGTTCTCATGCCCCCTGTTGGTTACTTACTTGAGAATCGCATTGAAGCTAAGTCATTTTGCAACCAGAGAAAAAATGTCCAATGTTTTCACTTGAATCTGGTTTGGATCATAAACTAAAAGGTATTTACACACACACACACACACACACACACACACGAATGTATCCCTCTGGTTTCATGTTTGAATTGAAGCTAAAAAAAAGTGAGATTTAAAGAGAGGGTGAATTTTGCATTGGGTGTGAAAAACTCCCACATCCACTTACACTCACAATTGGTGAGTGCCATCCATGTATTAAGTATTTTCTCATGAGATTTTAACATTTTGGTATAGCGCAAAGAGCATGAACTTTTAAACTACGTAGTCCTGAGTTTGAACCAAGTGAATTTATCTTCCTTATCAATCACATTAAACCATATAAACATGGAAAGTTATTTTTTTATCTTGAAAATGATTTGGGTTATAATTCTTATTACACATTGTTGGTTTGAAGATTAAAAGATAAATAGTTTGTCTGAAAGTGCCTACTAAGTATATGTTAAATGCTAAGTAATTGTTAGTTTTTTTTTTTTTACAACTCTCTGATGTAAACATTATCTATATCTCACTTTTTAGATAGAATAATTGAGGTTCAGGCATATAGAAAAAAGTGGCCAAGCTTTTGCAGCTAGTGAATGATAATGCTGGCATCAAAACCCAGAACATTTTGCCTCTAATGCAAGCATATTTTGTGATATTGTTTATACAACTTTATTATAACTCAGTGTTACAAAATCAGGTCTATATAAGCTACTCTACCTTGATTTACATCTTATAAAATTTAATAAGCAAAATGTGGAAAAAGAAGGAGTGGTCTTATTTAAAAAGTGTCCTGAACAATATTCTAACAAAGATTTGACTTTCGAAAAATAAAATCAGAGTATTCTCAAAATAATCACTGACTATTCTCAAAAATAATGCTAAAATATTAATTATTTGACAACAATTTACTCTCTTTGTGAACATAATATACCATCTCTTTGCATTTTGCTACTACTTCTCCTATTAGAAATACCAGCTTCTAGGAAGTTCTCAAGGGTTTTTATATCTACTCTATAAATGAATGAAAAGTTCTTACAGATTTTCATTACCACGTGGACGTCTATAAGCAGAATTAAATATTAATGTAAGTACAGATGTTTAATTATCAAGTAGAATTGATAATATTCTCAACACAAGACACCTAAAATAATTTTATTTTATACTCAGAAATTAAATGTCATCATTTATTAATTGGTCAGACTTTTTTTTTTTTTGACTCAGTCTCACTCTGTCGCCCAGGCTGGAGTGCAGTGTGGTCAGACTTTTAAAATAATATAATTAGAAATAAATTTGTGTTTTCCACCAGCGCTTTAGGTTGCAAATTATTCAAAATTACTGAATCATGTCCAAATATTCTAATTGTTATAATAATTCTGTTAGAAGAGGAGCCACATATGGGAGTAATTAAATACACACTTGTTTCTATTTTAGGGTAACGTGGAAAAGCCTAGGGACTTAAATATCTGCCCACTCATGTAATTTCCTGGGTAGATCATAAATCAACGTTAATAAGTCCAAAGTATCAATTTTTGATGGGTCTGGAATTTGCACATATATATTTCATAATGAATCAGTGTAGGTCATTTCTTTATCAGCAAAGACATGTGCCATTATAATTATACTAATCTTAGTGGAAAGTGCTAAGTTAAGGTCATACAAGTCAATTAAGCTTTGTTGAATGGGATAAACTAAAATAAATAATTATATACTGGTACAAGAATGATGTGTTGGATACAGAGTTACATCATTCTTGTAAGTCCATTTCTTGATCTATTCATTAACAAGTATTTACTGGTAAAAGACAACTTGGTGTAAATCTGATTAACTACTTGCTAACAGGCATACAGCAACTACCTCATAGCTTCAAATCTCTCTTATCTTTAAATTAGTGACAAAAAATGCCCAACTTCACAAGATTGCTGTAGAATTCAAAATACATTAGAATTCAAAATACAGTAAAAGTGGCATTTAATATCTCTGCAGTAAATATTATCTCAGTCTAAACACCTCTCTATAAAGGGTTTCTTGAACCATAAATTATTGGACAAGAATACATTTTACATCCTTTCTAAATCTAACCTTTGATAGTACTACAAATTCACCATGCCTAAATGTCAGAACTAGATACTGGGATATTGTTCCAGATTCTTCTTTGCAATGGATGTTTCTAAAATAAAATGTGTATCAACCTTATTCCATAATTTTAATCAAAGTATATCGTGTATGGAAACAGATAATGTTTCTTTAAAAACTTTTATATTAAGTTCAGGGCTAGAAGTGCAAGTTTGTTACATAGGTAAACTTGTGTCATGGGGGTTTGTTGTATAGATTATTTTGTCACCCAAGTATTAAGCCTAGTACCCATTGTTTTTCTTGATCCTCTCCTTCCTCCCAACCTTCACCCTCCAAAAGGCCCTAATGTGTGTTTTTCCCCTCTATGTGTCCATGTGTACTCATCATTTATCTCCCACTTATAAGTGAGAACATCTGGTGTTTGATTTTCTGTTTCTGTGTTAGTTTGCTAGGGATAAGGGCCTCCATCTCCATCCATGTCCCTGCAAAGGACGTGATTTCATTCTATTTTATCACTGCATAGTATTCCATGGTGTACATTACTACATTTTCCTTAGTCTATCATTGATAAGTATTTAGGTTGATTCCATGTCTTTGCTATTGTGAATACCGCTGCAATGAACGTACACATGCATGTGTCTTTATAATAGAATGATTTATATTCCTTTGGGTATATACCTAGTAACGGGGTTGCTGGGTCAAATGGTATTTCTGTCTTTTGGTGTTTGAGGAATCGCAACACTGTCTTCCACAATGGTTGAACTAATTTACACTCCCACCAGCAGTGTAGAAGTGTTCTTTATGCTCCACAACCTTGCCAGTGTCTGTTATTTTATTGACTTTTTAATAATAGCCATTCTGACTACTGTGAGATGGTATCTCATTTTCATTTTGATTTGCATTTCTCTAATGATCAGTGATGTTGAGATTTTCTCATGATTGTTGGCTGCATGCATGTCTTCTTTGCAAAGAGTCTGTTCATGTCCTTTGCCCACTTTTTAATGGGGTTCTTTGTTTTTTTATTTAAATTTGTTTAAGTTCCTTATAGATGCTGGATATTTGTCAGATGGATAGACTGCAAAAATTTTCTCTCATTCTGTAGGTAGTCTGTTTATTCTGCTGATAGTTTCTTTTGCTGTACAGAAGCTCTTTAGTTTAATTGGATCCCATTTGTCAATGTTTTCTTTTGTTGCAATTGCTTTTGTTGTCTTTGTCATGAAATCTTTTCCCATGCATATGTCCTGAATTGTACTGCTTAGGTTGTCTTTCAGGGTTTCTATAGTTTTGGGTTTTACATTTAAGTCTTTAATCCACCTTGAGTTAATTTTTGTGTACGGTGTAAGAAAGGGGTCCAGTTTCAATCTTCTGCATATGGCTAACCAGTTATCCCAGTACCATTTATTGAATAGGGAATCCTTTCGCCATTGCTTGGTTTTGTCAGGTTTGTCAAAGATTAGATATTTGTAAGTGTGTGGTCTCATATCCAGATTCTGTATTCTGTTCTATTGGTTTATGTGTCCCTTTTGGACCAGTATCATGCTGTTTTGGTTACTGTAGCCTTACATTATAGTTTGAAGTTGGATAGCTTTGTCCTCCAGCTTTGTTCTTTTTGCTTAGGATTGCCTTGGCTATTTGGGCTCTTTTTTGTTTCCATATGAATTTTAAAATGGTTTGGAAACAGATAATGTCTTACAAATAAAAAATCCAGTCAAGGCTTTAGCTTCAATTCAACTATTCTGTTCTACTTACAAGAAATTTTCCATATATGTATCTTTTTTTTTTTTTTTTTGAGACAGGGACTCACTTTGTCACTCAGGTTGGAGTACGGTGGCATGATCTCTGTTAACTGCAACCTCTTCCTCCTGGGCTCAAGTGATGGTCTCACTTTACCCTCCTGGGTTGCTGGTACTACAAGCTCATGCACCCATGCCCAGCTAATTTTTGGTAGGGAAGAAGTTTCAACCATGTTGCTCAGGCTGACCTTGAACGCCTAACCTCAAGTGATCAGCCTGCCTCAGCCTCCCAAAGTGGTGAGATTACAGGCGTGAGCCACAGTGCCCAGCCCATATGTGTATCTCAAAATGTTTCATAACAGTGCATAAACAATAGGAAAGGAATAAATGTAAATGAAAAACATGTAGTGTTGTTTGAAAAATTTCCCCTTCATGTAGTAACCTTGAAATAAATTTTGGTTCATGCCTAAATCTGATAAAAAGAAAAAAAAATCTTTAATAAATGTAAAAATGAAAGCAGACCAATCACCATGACTTACACCTATAATCTCAGCACTTTGAGAGTCTGAGATCAGCAGATGGCTTGAGCCCATTTGTTCAAGACCAGCCTGGGCAACATGGTGAAATCCCGTCTCTACAAAAATACAAAATATTAGCCGGGGGTAGTGGAATGCGCCTGTAGTCCCAGGTACCCAGGAGGCTGAGGTGGGAGGATCACCTGAGCCTGGGAGGTTGAGGCTGCTGTGAGCCATGATTGCGCCTGGGTGAAGGAGTGAGACTCTGCCTCAAAATTAATTAATTAATTAATTAATTAATTAATTAAAATTAAAAAGTAAAGAGAGAGACAGTAATACCATAAAACTGAGAATGTTCTACTCACAAAAATCATCCTATAAATATTTGTTCCCAAGATGCTGCATTTTCCTCACTGAAAGCTGTATCTTATTTATTTATTTATTTTTACGGACATATAAGCAGTGCAAGTGCTAACAATTGTAGAGATAGAAAGAAATAGATAGAAAGAGATAGACAGAAAGAAAAGAGTGTTATACAACTTTTAAACCGTGTAAGAGTCTTAATTTTGAGGGTGCTTAGGCCGCATTGAAGAACTCTGGAAATAGTTTTGACAGAAGTTTCTTCTTTGTGTCTTCTAGATCAAGGAGGCCAAAACTTGTTAGATTCCCGACTGCACAGCATTCAAATGTCCTGACAAATTGTCAGGAAATGACCCTCCGTAAAGTTGCTTTACCAAGGGTCAACTAAAGTAAAGTAGTGTCCTGAATGTCAGTTCCTTTAGTCGGGCCCACCTCTTAGTGGCAAAATGGCTGTGATAGGCTGGCAGCAGGGATGAGGAAAAGAAGAGGAAAAATAGACAAAGATGAAAAGAGTTCCTCTATATGAATGTTTTAAGGACTTTGAGGATACTGCCCATATATTTTCAATCTTAAGACCTCAGCCTCAGCCTTTCCTACCAATTTGTCTTTTTGTCTTCTGTTTGCTACAAGTTGAAAAAAAAAAAAAAACACACCAAAACCAGCCATCAGAGGCAGGAGGAAAAGCAGCAGCATAAATGTACAAATTTCTTCAACAAACAATTAGAAAGCATATGCTGCAGTTTCTTCAAAAAGGGTAAGAGGAAAATGAATGACTGGAGCTCAGAGACTAGGATAATCAGTCAATATCAATGTTATTTTAGGTATATCCACCTAACGAAATATATTATTTTGGTGATGTCAATAAATATGCAAGATTCTTACTGTAAAATATCCATTTCAAGATTAAATTTGAAATGACATCTTCCTCATCTGTTAAATCTTAGACTTTAAATAAATACTATGTAGAGTCAAATAAGGGTAAAATCAAAATGCTCTGATTTACATACGAGGAAGTGGAGATTAACTGCAACTAGTGGAGGAGATGGAGAAAGGGGGTATGGCTATTAGAGTCATTTGGAGATTTTACACAGGTATATACATGTTCCCTGGAGACTTTAGGAATCACTACCACAGTAGACCATTATCTATCCCTCAGACATGTCAGAGAAAAAACTGCACTGAGCACCACAGATCCTGATCATCCATCCAAATAATTTTTAGTTTAAAAGATAGAATGATACAGATCTATAGCAATAGCATCTGAATTACTTTACCAGATTGCTGTACAGTTTGCTATAATTCTGTAAGCATCTACGATTAGCCTGGCACTGCCTTCGGCAGCTTCTTAGGTCTTATTTACAAATATCTTATTTAATATTATCCAGAAGAAAGAACAATAGTAGGACAAAACGTCTTTATCAGGTGACAAAATGGAGTCTTAGAGAATTAGAATAGTTTATTTAAGTCCACACAGCTTGTAAAAATCAGAGAAGAATTAGGACCCAGATGTGTTTAACATCAAATTTTCCACTCTGTTACCATAGAGGACTTCCCATCCTGGGCATTATTTGTCAATTTGACTCACGGATGTGGTCAGAATGAGGCTTACTGTTCTTTATAGCAGTGCATGGAAACATACTCTCACTTATTTCTTCTCCTTATTTTAAATCTCTCTCAATTAATTAGGAT